>NC_000012.12:69126794-69278309 GCF_000001405.40 Homo sapiens | reverse complement strand
ACAGCCATGAGTCTGGATAAGAGCACCAAATGTAGAGACTAGTCCCCTGGAAGTGCCCTCAAAAATTAAATGGTTAGGGGAGAGAAACAGCAAAGGAAACTAAAAAGAACAAACATAAATTTGACTCCGTTTTTACCTTTCCTATTAACCGATCAAATAACTAGTATCAGCCAAATCTAATTAGAGGGCACATTCTGTCTGTGTGTGTAAGCAGAAGAAACAACTGTCAGAAGATAAATTACTCTAGATAACTTACTGCCCAGGTACACATAATAGAGATAAGAGGAGGTGGGCCATACGTCTTTTAGTGTCCATTCATAGTTAGATGATTTAGTAAGTCAAGGAAAACATAAAATGGACTGCTATAGAAGTAGGCAGTCTCTCACTGTGCACAAGCATACACAGCATGTGTTTACAGTGTGAAATATAAAAGGCTCAAGTTTACACACTTGGAGTAGAATGGGCTGCCAGTATCCTTGGATCAATTTCTAAGTTGTATAAAAATAACTTCATCAGAAAAGTGTTTACAATACATAACCTAAGATATACTATTGTGAAAAGGCAGCCATCAATAAAATCCTTTAATAACTATTTTTTTTTTTTTTGAGACGGAGTCTCGCTCTGTCGCCCAGGCTGGAGTGCAAGCTCCGCCTCCCGGGTTCATGCCATTCTCCCGCCTCAGCCTCCCAAGTAGCTGGGACTACAGGCGCCTGCCACCACGCCTAATTTTTTGTATTTTTAGTAGAGACGGGGTTTCACCGTGTTAGCCAGCATGGTCTCGATGTCCTGACCTCATGATCCGCCTGCCTAGGCCTCCCAGAGTGCTGCTGGGATTACAGGTGTGAGCCACTGCACCCGGCCTACCTTTAATAACTATTAGCTCCAGTTTTCACGTTCTACAAATAACTTCTGACGGTATTCTTAGGTTAGACGCCTAGGTAAGATTCTTGCATTTTGTGTTAAGATAATTTTTTCCCCTTACTTGAGGAAAGCTGAAGAGGTCATGATGTAAAATGATAACCTATTTCAGGGGGAATAAAGAGCTAAAGTGGTACACGGGACTGGTTTCTATACTGTAATGGGGAGGGGTCCAATTTCTAGACTCAGTGCCTACATTTTCTGCATGTTAGACCCACCTACCTCATATCTGACAGCTATAGTAATTGTGTAGGTAGAACCTGTATTTACATGAGACAAGATACCACAATAAAATGCTATGGCCTATCTTACACAAAAGTATCTAACACAGTATCTTGTAGAGTAGGTACTCAACATTTGTGCAAATGAAAAATTTAAAGTAGTATGTTCCTAAATGGTTAGTTTGGGTATCAGTAAAGCTTAAAATCTTACAGGGGTGGTGGCTCAGTATCATGACATTCAGTAAATAACTGAAAATTTAGAATCATAAAATCATTCTAACCTCTACTCACTATATTCTGCTAGTCATAACCTTTCAGAGCCCATTACCTCCCTTTTAAAAGTAGAACACTGGCCAGGTGTGGTGGCTCATGCCTATAATCCCAACACTTTGGGAGGCCAAGGCAGGAAGATTGCTTGACCCCAAGAGTTTGAGACCAGCCTGGACAATATGGCAAAACCCCATGCCTACCAAAAATATAAAAAAGTTAGCCAGGCATGGTGGCATGCACCTGTGATCCCAGCTACTCAGGAGCCCGGGGTAGGCTGCAGTGAGCCATGATCACACTACTGCGCTGCAGCCTGAATGACAGCAAGATCTTGTCTCAAAAAAAGAAAAACAAAAAAAGAATACTAACTGTCTTATAGGATAATTAAGAAACTAATGAAGCAATAGGTACAAAAACAATTTTTAAAAAATGTTGATGGTTGACCAGGCACAGTGGCTCACGCCTGTAATCCTAGCACTTTGGGAGGCAAAGCCAGACTCATCACTTGAGCCCAGAAGTTCGAGACCAGCTTGGCCAACGTGGTGAAAAACCGTCTCTACTAAAACTACAAAAAATAAATAAATAAATAAATAAATAAAAATAATAAAAAAAAATTGGCCGGGTGTGATGGCTCACACCTATAGTCTCAGCTACTCGGGATGCTGAGGCTGAAGAATCACTTGAACCTGGAAGGCACAGGTTGCAGTGAGCCAAGAATGCGCCACTGCACTCCAGCTTGGGTGAGAGAGCGAGACTGTCTCAAAAAATAAAATGTTAATAGCAATCCCCTAAAAAACAACAGGACAGCATCGGTGATTGTGTTCTTCAGCTGGGTTGACAACCGTTAAAGTGAAAACTGATGAAGACAATTACTGCCTTCTCCGTCCCATAGCTTGATCCATCTACCCTCTCCCAGGGGATGAATGTGTTACTAGATGGACTGCCACCATAAAAATGGGAGCCTTATCTTAGATAGCAAACCCTGACAATCTCACAGATAAACACTGTTACTTCTAAACTAAGCCATGCCCACACCACAATGCCCTCAATTTCTATTTCAAAGAAAACATAAGTCACTAAATATGACATCTTAAAATTTCTACCACACACCTACAGCCCACAAACTTCTATTTTTATCTACCCTTATCTTCTCTCCTGACAGGAAGAGGTGTTTCTCTTTTATCTATTCTTTTATCAATTTAATCTGCAGCCAAGAAGCTTTTTGAAATGTTGATTATGACACTTCACACAATTCAATGATTCCACATGACTCTTAGGACAATCTTTAATGTGACCTACAAGCTCCGGAGAGCCTAGCCTTGCCAACTGCTTGAGCTCCACACATAGGCTATGTTCTTCACTCCCTGCTTCAGCCAAACTGGCATTCTTTCAGTTCCTACTAGCATGCTCCTCTTGCCAAAAGCCCTTTTTGCAAGTCTCTGCCTAAAAGGTACTTCCCTTTCCCATTCACCATTTTTTTCCTACAGATCTCAGTATAACATTAAAGTAGTAAATTTCATTTTTTAAAGTTTTTCTATAAAATGAATATAGATTTTTGAAAGGTAAAGTATATATCATTTATCTGGAACTGACAATAGTTTATCAGAACTGATGTACCACACGAAAATCCAAGAACTGTTAATGAACTATAAATGGGAGAAAAAGACCAACAACATCATTGGAAATCATTTCTAATAATTATTGTTTCATGGTAATGGCTCTGAAACAAAACTAGGAAGACTGGGAAAAGTCTGTCCATAAATCTTTTGTAAAAAAAAAGCTTCTCTCTTTCACTAAATTAGGTCTTGAACTGAGTCATATGTAGTGTGGCATCTGGCCAAAAAATATTCCTAATGATCTTCTCTTAAAGTTAAATGACCTCACAGGGTAGGGACGAGAGTCTCAACTAATTCAACACAAATAGGGATTGATCAATGGAAACATACAACAAACAGTAACAGGAAATCTAACAAAAATCTGAACCACAATTTTAGTGGAGGCATGGAAAGGGATCCCAGTGATGGTAGTATTATTTCTCATGTTCATATTCACTTGTTTAGAACTGTTACCTTTAATACTCTGAAGCTTGCAGGTAAGAAATCTGAGGCCTGATATTAATACCTGGCACAGAAATATCTACTGAAATCACTGAAACTGAAGTCTGTTACTGTTTCAAAAGTACCCCATAATGTTTCCAAGCTAACCAGTAAAATATTTTTGCTACAAACATTTTTACTTAAGTCTAGTAAGGTTAATGATCCTCTAAAACTAGACAAATGCTTTCTGAATCTTCCATTTAAAAACCATGTAACAGCCTGGAAATCTGTCAGGCCTCTTAATCCTAATTTTAGCCCAATTATCAGTCGCTTTAAAGAGCACCAAAATGTCAATACACAAGAAAACCACCACTATCTGGCTTAAAGATAGAATACAGACAACAGTCCAATTTCTGCTATACTGCATATTGCCAATAAACATTAACTACTTAAAACCATACACAATGGTTACCAAATAACAAATTAAACAAAAAAGACAAACTGCAAAGTCTTATCAAAAGTTTGTTTTATTTTCAATACAAGATAAATACCATGCTTGTTACTAGTGCAGTTTAAGGCCGACAATGGCCATATATCAAACTGCCGAACAGTCACCTAAATGCTAAAGAAAGGAAAGACAAAGTAAACATTAAACACAAAATTGCAATTACAAACATTTTAATAAAATGGAATGAGCTTTTTAATTGAAGCTAATATGAAGTCTAATTCTCATGGACAGCAAAAAAAAAAAAAAAAAAGTCTATTAGATCAATTATCACCTTACCTTTTTGCACAGAAATCTTATTGTGAAGTCACCATAGAGTCAATAGCTAAAATTTTAAGACTTTCTTTGGCCTTCTGATATTAAACAAATTATTTACAAACTGTGATCAGTAATTCGTGGATATTGGTAAAATGATACAATTTTTTGTTGTTGTTGTTAAGGGCTTTCCATTAAAAATTGTAAAACAACTTTGTAAGGCTGTACAGGGCTGTAAACTACTTTGCTAATATACCATGGGATGCAGAGGAAGGAATAATAGACCTTTTTTTTAAGGCTAAAGTTATCAATGTTATAGATGCATTCCTTAAAATACATTATGATTTATACCCAAAGGATCCTTTCCCATTAAATACCACCTGAGTACTACAATTTTCAAAGTAAAAAAATAAACATGAATTCACCATAGTTATTTTAAAATAATTTAACTTACAGAATGTTGAGAAGTGTTACGCAGTAACAGTGCGACAAAAAGAACACACTTTCAAAACAAAATGTTTTCGCTAAATGCAGGGTCTGTCCAATTATGAAATTAATGTAAAACATTTACACCCATGGCAGAGTTTTAGGATACTCCCACGTGAAAAAAACTCTTGGTAGTATTTACTATGCAGTTACCACTTCAAGATGTGTGTGACTTCAATTAAATTCAACCTAGTATTTAAAAGACTCCATTACAATATGTTAATACAGCAGGAAGTCTTTAAAGACATTAAAATCTGTCGTATATAATCAAGTATTTATACGTCCCATACAAAAACCATAGTAGCTGCATACTCAGTGAATGCCACAACCTGAAATTCTAAAAAAAGAACATTGGTTAAGACAAACCTAAATCAATCTGAACAGTGTTGCCTGAATATTTAGAATATTCACAAAAATTCATATTGCTTCTTTCTAATGCCAAGAAAGAAGAGTATAAGAACTTCCTCCCAGAAGCCTAGACATTTTAATACATTTTCTATTTCAACTTACAATGAAACTTTAATCCTGAATCTTGATTTATCTAAATCAAAAATCTCACATTACGAACACAAGGAATGCCATATGTAAGGCCACATCTTAATAAATTTATAATTTTTGGTTGAATATTTATTGAAAAAATCAGTCTAAGGCTTCTAAGAGTCAAGTTGCTTAAAAAAATAAATACACCAGTGTTTAAACTGAAGTTAAGGTTAAAAAAACGCATACACACACACACACACACACACACACACTGTAAGAACAGAAAAATAGAATGCTTTGCTACAAAAATCCCACTTAATATATTTTAGCACAAAAATGTCTAATATACACTGGATAAGCGTGCATTTACGTACATACAACTAGGGGAAACATTTACAGAGGGCTACGGGATGCAAATGAACTTAATGAGTAATAAAAACCAGTTGTTATCTGTAAAACAGAGAATCTCAATACTGTATTCTCAGTCAAGAATTAGAACATAAACTTCCTCTTAAGCTGAAGCTTAAAACACAAAATTGGAGCCATTTTAGAAAATACAGAAAATGCAATGATCATTCAGGTATGAAAACCAAAATGTCGAGAGCACTCCAACAGAAAAGTCTTGTAATGCATCTCATTGTATAAAACAGTATGTATTTAGATTGGCACAGTTAAATACATAAGGGAAAGAGAAAGTCTTTGCCCTTTCCACAATTTTCCTTCACTATAAAATATTATACAACATTCATTAAAACCTCCATGTTTATTTTAATAACTGACCTGAAACTAGTAAAAAATAAAGCAATATTCTCCACAGGAGAATTAAATGAAAATAGTATCTTAAGCTACAAGTTATCTGTGTATTCCAAATTGTCATTAACTGCTTAAGAACATTCTAGGTAAAAGGACCATTAAATGGGCTAAACTATGATCAAAAGCCACTGCAACTTACTCCAAACCTTATGAAAAGTGACAAAAAAAAAAAACACACATCTGCAAATTTACACTGGAATATGCTTTCCACAACATAGTTCCTTTAACCAAAAGCAGCACTTTCAATCCAAAGTGTTGCCTCAGAAGCAGTACCATTCAGGTACTGTATCACTCATCTGTTTAACTTTACTACTGGCTGAAAGGAATGTGACTGTATAGCACTAATAAATGCTATGTTTTAAAATTCAACTCGTTTGTTTTCACATCCACTACAGTTATTAACTAAGGAAAAAATGAAAAGGTCTCTGAGACACTGTTTTTGGTGTCTATGCAAGGATTTATCTCTTTGGATTGTTTTTACACATTAAAAAAAGGAAGAGTTTTCAAATAACATTAACCCATAAACAACTGAAGGGGGTATGAAGAACAAAACAAGGCCTGCAATTTTCACCTTTACTGCTATACATTCACGTGTTATCAGGTAGAGAAGGACTTTGCAAAATTACTTGGTCAAACCAAGAAGTTATTTCCTTCTGACAACACTTAAAATAACGGATTAGCAGCAAACAAATCTAGTACACTCACACTGTCTGTAACGAAAGTCATGTAATGAGATCAGCCAAGCAAGGAGAAGAGTGATATAGAAGGAGCAATTAAAAGGTTCCATTGATAAAATATGAAAAGGTAAATAAAGGATTTAATTAGTATAAAATTTCCAGTTTCATTTCAAGTGCAGTTAGATTTTTGTGATTCCATTTTTAAACTGTTCAAAGAAAATTTTATTTTCATGGACATTTTACTTACCTTTTAACCCTTTACTATTAACTAATTTCTCTTGTAATATTTATATGTCCATACTTCTTCGCATTAGGGCATTGTAGTCAAAATATTAAAAAGCCAAGAAATGACACAACAATATACAGAAAACAGGAAAATTTTGATACAACTCTAAAATAATGTTAAAAAAGCAACCGCATTTTCAACAAAATGCTTTAAAAAATCATTTCTGAAAGTGAACAGTTCTGATAAACATCAACGATCCCATGCACAGATACTTCAAACACAAAATATTTTAAAATAAAACTGGCAGTGATATGGGTAATTCAAAACAGCTAATTTTGTCAGAAGTGGTTTGATAGCAGACAAGATGAAAGTGAAGAACAGCAGTGGAAATTTCTGGAGGGTTTCTACAGTTGCACATAACACAGTATCTAGGGTATTTTAACACTTTAAGCATTGTCCTAGAATTTGGGTACTCTTTAACAACCAATGTGTATTAACAGAAGATCTCTCAAAGATAATCAGATCTTAAAAACATATTAACGTGCTCAAGAATTTTAAGTCAAATTTCTGAAGTAGTGATTTCAAATTACATTCCCATAAAAACACCTAATCAAGTTGACACCCTGCCTCTGCCAATTTTGCAATCAAGAACACATGCTAGTCAGGTGCTTTTAAAGTGGGCCTATATGTAAGGCAGGTTTGAAAAAAATCTTTGATTAAGTAACTATAGCATGAATCAATACGGTGCATGAATATACATAGTATTCCTTAAACTGTGCAGACACGGTTTATCTGTAATTTCCCATTACAAATACTGGGGAATACAACCGAATGTTAATGAACATCACATCCTTCAAAAATTTATACCAATTGGAAAATATAAGGCTCTCTTTACTCACATTTACCTGCTGCAGGGCTGTATTTACACTGACTATGGCTTAAGAAATAAACCATAAGATCAATAAAAACAGCAAGTAATTGCAGCATCAAATCGGAATTGTCAAAATTTCTTCAATGTTAGCGGTTCACAATTAAGTGTTTCGGTACATCTGTGTTGTAATTAACCTGCATTACACATCAAATATGTACGGGTTTTTACTTATGTGTTAAAACCTCTGTTTTTTTGACCCCTTACACATTGACTAGATTGCTATGTCTGTCAAATCTCTATTTTTACAAGTTTACATACCATTCAGCAAAGTCACAAGCTAACTAGGTAAAAACAGCTAGAAAAGCAGAATATAGAAATATTAAATATCCATGTAATCACCTATTCTAATATCAAAATCAAGGGCAAAAGACACTTAATTACTATGTTTAATTCACTGAACGCAAGATTAGATTGAGGCATATCCAAAAACGCTATTGCAATGCTTTAAAGGACAGTAAAAATGTTGTCATAGTAACATTATCTTTAGATATTGCTGAACACAAGACTTTCCCTGAGGTGTAAACATCAAATAACTTGAACAGCTTTACACATCAGCCCCATTAAACAGTTTATTACAACACTACATCTATTGTAATCAAAGTGATGCTGTTTACAGACATTATCATATAAACATTTTTAACAAGAACAAACTACTACAAAAACAAGCATTTACTTGACTTTTTTTCCAATTGCTTGCACATCATAATGGCCAAATGTATATAACCAGTAATAAAGTTGCAAAAGCTATAACTTTTTAAATCACACAGGTTTCCTTCAAATAAAACAGTTAAGCAACATAAAAAATAAAAGTAGAGCTACTGGTTACCATTTATGCAGATTTGCTTTATTCAGATCTATTCCTGTTCATTTTATCCATGAATCCTTACAGGTTCAGTTCAATCACAAGAAGCAAACTGCTGGACAAGCGTCATTTTTCCCCCATGAAGACTGTTTTGTCTTGGAAGGTGATCCTCTTCCTTCAGCTGTAATGTGTCAAAATTTGTGATGTAGATTTTGCTATTCCCCAAAATACACAGAAAAACGCTGGCTTAACTATACATACACAAGTCGTGCATCTACTTCACTGTTATGTATTCTAACACAAAATAAGAATTAACTGAAACAGTAGCTGCCTTTGTGGTGGTGAAATGTTCCAATTTACCTGATGATTAAACTGAGACATTCTGATTTCATTCTTCTTAAATATTATTGCCTTATAAATTTAATGACTGAAGCAGTAATGAAAACATAGCAGCTACTGTTTCTGTGATGATGGAAACATTCATAAGTCATTTTCTAAAATATGCATACTACAAAAATAAATGGAAAATGCTTGGATGATTTTTATGTAAATATTTTTCATTCACCCACATATCAAGTCTATAAACTCATTTAACAATTAAATGCTGAACTAAATATAAAATGCAAAATTATTTTACAAATTAATTTATTTAACAGCATACAGGAACTTCTGCAAGTATTATAAATCAAATGGTGTTCCATGTTACAAAATTTGTAAGTAAGATTTATAAATAGAGTATGGACATTTAAATTAATGACATCCACGTACAAATCTTTAGACGTAATACAAATTTAAAACATTTACTTTACTTTTAGTCTATTCCACCTATATAGAAATACCTAACGTAGTATTATAAACTAACCAAAACAAGCTAAGTGGGAATCTACAATGATAAAGTTCATTTAAAACTCACATAAAAGAAAAAAAATAGAATAAAGTTGATAAACTAAAATTTAAAGAATACATATATATGCAAACTTCAGGTAGAGGTTCACAAGAAACATTCAATTAACTTGGATATAAGTAACCACTGAAACAGTCGGTAATGAAAGTATAAATGACAAGAAACCACTTCAATAATAAAGTGATTTAAGAGTCAAGAGGGCAGAAGGTTTTTTAAAATTTTTTTTCAGTTTGAACATGTTCATAGGGCACAGTTTAGTGATATTTTGAAATAAAAATAACTGAAAAATACTTTTTGCTCTACAATTAAGAGTTACTTCTGCCACTGCTATAAATTTTTCTATTATGTCCTTTCCTAGGTTGTATCTTAAGAGCATCAGTACATATATGCATTCACACTGCCTAGCAGTAATAACTTAAAATTTTAAAACTGCAAAAGAAAAAAAAATACAATCCAGACTTCTCTTTTATATATATAGTTTCTATATGCCTGTATCTTTCAGATAACTTCAGCCATTACTATTGTTATCTTTTATTGCATCTTCATCTTATGTTGATGAAGCTATTTAGTGAAACTATTTAATGGGGAAAAAATACAAAATGGCAGCTTTCAAATGTTTTATTTTTATTATCTGCACTACACTATTAAAAAACAGGTTTATGTATTAGAGAGAGACAAGGCATATGTTCTAACCTGAAATAATAATTACTGGGAAATTAATAAATCTAACTGCAAAAGAATGCTATCTCCCTAAATTTTCTGTTGCGCTGGAAGGGATAAAAAGTCATTAAGAGGGAAAAACTATTTAAAGTCATAGCAAAACAAAAATATTCAACTCTTCCATAAAACATATCACATACACTGCATCTTTGTGTCATTATCACTCCAGTGGAGAATTATACTATTTTTATATAGAGAATCCCATTTGTAAAATTGCAACACACATCTTTTCCCAGGACTAATGCACTCTTTTGTTTGATTATACTTTATAGATAGATCTTTTCTATTAATAAATCTAATTTTCACCATACAGACATAAAATATGGGGGATAGTCTAGCAGTTTTTATTTCTATTTCTAAACACTTTACATTTTATGCACTTGGAAATACAAATTTTACAGTCTTAAACGAAAGTGAATTTGAAGGCAATACAACCCATTTCCAATAATCCAATTCCATATTATACTCTCAAATGTCTAAGTAGGCAACTACATCAACAAAGATATCAAAAAGAAGCTTAAAAGTGACAAATACATTCAACGTCCATGTTTTCAATGTATCATTTGGTAAAATCTGTAATGTCAAAGCCACACAATTACTTGCTTTAGCTATTAATTATAAAAGAAAGGCCTATGTAAACAGATGTTAAAACAACTAAGATGATAAATGGAATCTACACCTTTTTAATAAAGTCTGTAAACTAAAGTGAGCACTAAGTAAAATTTCAACACACAGAGAAGTACTTGTATTTTAAGATACTATATCAAGCCATTATTAACAACTCAAATTATAACTGTTTCTGTTAGAAATTTATCTATGCACATTTGTTAGAATTAGTATTTTAAATTCATGGTAAATTCATCTTTTAAGATTTAAATAAATACTTGACAGGGCACTTTTATAGATTTTCACATTAATATACTGAATTAAAAGGATTCTCATAATTTTAGAGATGCACTACTAACTCAACGAAATAAAATTCACTTTTCTCTATCTGAAAATTTCTCCTTAATAAGAGGAATGGAAATGAGGTGGGCAAGAGAAATAATTATCTACATATGAGTTAACTCTAAAATCAAAATTCCTTCTTGTGTTGACTAGAACATATTACATAAAAACAATTCTAGTTATTGTAGATATTTACAAGAAGTTCTTGCTACCAAAACATTTCATATTTTCTTCTACCTCTGTACATAGTACTTACCTCATTTTAAGTAAAGCATTTTATTACTCTATAAAACACATACATAATTGCTCTTACAACCCAGTAAAATAGAAATAAACTTAATCACATTCAAAGAAAAATGAGGTTTGTTCCCAAAAGATTTACAAAATGAACATCTCAAAATAACCTGTTATTTATAATTCATGGAGAGTCAAAACATGCTACCACAAATTCATAAAATTTGGATAGCATAAATGGCACCCTTACCCCTTTTTGGTTATTAGGTTTCTTTAAACAACGTTAACTAAATATTCATTCAAGACAGAATTTACTCAAAACAATCTATTTTACAAACTAAAACAATGGTAGTAAATTTAACACTGAGATGACGGTGAGAGAGCAAGATGACTCACACTGGCATTGAATTTTTTTTCAACAGGGAACATTAATCATTTGTAAACAAAACTATATTCTTAAACCACAGTGAGCAAAACACACTATACATCCATTCAAGGGATCACTTCCTACTCCCTCTTGTAACTTCAATTAAGTCAGCTGTGTAGTGAGACAGGTTTTGTGAATACTCAAAGAAAAATCAGAGCTAAAGCAATGAAAGCTAGCATACATATCCAGATGAAGCAGAGCAGTTAGGATACATGGGAAAACAAGGAAACAGGGCTGGGAGCTATAACGCAGACCTCAGATAACCTAAGAGCTGCAGAAACAATTTTAAAATCTTATTATAACCAGTATCATTCACCAGGTAATTAAGAGAATTTAATTTTCACATAAGCCTCAAAGCAACACTAAGAAGAAAATGAAACATCTTTAACATGTAAGAATTTTTTTTATTCTTTTGGCTTTTTTTTTTTTTTTCAAAATTAACACAAAGCTAATAAGCTGAATACACAATGCAAAGCATCCTAAATCTTGGGCAATAACAAAATCTAAGATCCTAAGATCATGATATTTAAGGTAGGAAAAAAGTAATCAGACTAGACTGGGCGCGGTGGCTCACGCCTGTAATCAATCCCAGCACTTTGGGAGGCAGAGATGGGTGGATCACCTGACGTCGGGAGTTTGAGACCAGCCTGACCAACATGGAGAAACCCCATCTCTACTAAAACTACAAAATTAGCCGGGCGTGGTGCCACATGCCTGTAATCCTAGCTACTCCGGAGGCTAAGGCAGGAGAATTGCTTGAACCCAGGAGGTGAAGGTTGTGGTGAGCTGAGATTGTGCCACTGCACTCTAGACTGGGCAACAAGAGCAAGACTCCATCTCAAAAAAAAAAAAAAAAAAAAAGTAATCAGATAGCAAAGGCAAGTTATTTAATCCAGACCCCATACCCAATGCTTAAAAATTGTCATGGATGATTTGAGAATTGTAAAACCTCATAAAATAGAGAGAGGAAAAGCCTGAATAAAGAGTATTTTAAAAAAACATAATTTGGTTTCAGTAAACAAAGAAAAGCTGAATTGTTAACACAAATTTGCTGAGTAGGGATGTTCCAAAGAAGTGACAAGAGGAACGTAACCTTTTAAGTAACTCAACTATGAAACTAAAATTATTTCAGTAAAAAATGTACAATCGTAAAGCACTGAACTACTTTTATTTTGCTCAGAGTGGTCTGAGAATAGAGGTAGAAATTACAGAATATGAAGCACAACGTATTTACATACTGAAATTTACAATATTGGTATTTTCTCATTAAAATATTATCTATTTGAACTTAGATATTGAATACTTTTAGAAAAACCAATACATTTTAAAATGAGAGAATGCAATTAACATTACCAACAGTTCAAACACAAAAAAAAATTAAGATGGGACAGACATTAACAGCTTGCCAAGATCATTACGTTTCCAGTTAAAAAGTTAAGAACTTGCCCTTTTAGCCATTCATCATCACTTTAATAGATTACATTAGTATTTTATTTGTATACAGCCTTACTAGTGACATTCACTTTAGCTTTCAAATCACTCAGTCCATTTGGTCCATTTAAGATTTACATGAAAGCTCAAAAGGACTCATATTTTAAAACTTCTAAAAAGGTCAACAGACCTTATTATGATGGTGATCAAATTTGCAGATAGCTTTTGTTTTAAAGATTTACTTGAATATATTTAATCCCAGTCCCCACCCCTTTATTCAAGTCTACATCCACAATACTGTTTGATATAGCAAACGTACAATAATCCAGGATAACAGAATTTTTTGCACTAGAAATGCTTATGTAAAATTTTTCTTGGATGAAGGCACATACAGTATTACAACTCAATTCTGATTAATGTACAAACAAAACATGGAAATTCTGGTATGGTACATCAGTGATTAAGAAAAATGTCAACAATAGTTTGCACATTAGGAATTTGTAGTTTATGTCTGAATGTAATGAAACTCAAGTCATGATATATTTAGGTGTACCCATTACTAGAATGTAATGTTAGCTAACTCAAATAAGATTAACAATGGACTTTGTTTACTTGGTTGACTATGCTAGTTTTACTAAAACCAGTAGAAATTGTAATTAGTTAACTTTGGGCTTAAATTGGTTTAGAGGCCCCTTGATGGGCACATCCAATTTTGTAGATGAATTCAAGTTTCATTATCATGCCTTTACTAACAAGAAGCTTGCTGATAACTTATAAAGTCCAAAAAAATAGGTAACTTACAGAACCTGTACCCTTCTATAATGGAAATGACTGACATAGGTAAGCATTTCAACTAATAACCCAGTCACAATCCAGTTTAAGCAACTGATGGATATTGAGAATTTTTTCATTAAGATGGGATCAGATGTATTTAACTCAGGGGAAAAAAGTGCTACATCTTTAAAATTTAGTGTTTAGATTTACATAATACAACATTCAATTTTTACATTCAAAAACAATATCAA
The DNA here is from genome assembly GCF_000001405.40 of Homo sapiens. Taxonomy (NCBI): domain Eukaryota; kingdom Metazoa; phylum Chordata; class Mammalia; order Primates; family Hominidae; genus Homo; species Homo sapiens. Next base: position 69,264,003 of record NC_000012.12, on the reverse strand, counting down.
TTTCAATAAGCTTAGTTTTAAAAGTAAAAGGTTTTTTTGCCTCATATTAAAAGAATGTTTTGAGATTTATATTAAATTTTGTAATACATGGAAAACTACAAATTAAAGTTTTGATATTCAATCTGCATATTCAAAATGCAAAGTATCAAAACCAGCCTTTTAACTCAAAAAGCCCTTAAAATTGTAAATAGTGTAGGAGCTTATATCTGTGTTCCATAAAAATAGCATGCTTATTTTCTAGGCATTTAAGGACTTCATTTGCGTATCTGTTATGGTTAAAGAAATTGGTATTCTGTCACAGAATTACATACACTTGATAAAACCTTTAATTTTGCCCATAACAATTTAAATACTAACAATTACCATGACTGAATTTTCAGTAAGTTTCCCATGATTACTGAAAATAATCACATAAAGAGTATTTACCTATGAGGGGTTTGTTTAGCCTTAATTTAATTTGAATATGCCAACCAACATATAAAGAAAAAATATTTTAATTTACAGAATAACCTTTGTGTCACATGCATAAGCCTTATAGTGCCCTCCCCCAGCTCTTCACATGAATAAATGCTATTAACAAATATAAAAAATAAAATTACATGTGAAAATGAAGCATAAACAGACAACTCTTCCCACTTCATGAAAAATGTACACAAGAAAGTTTTAAAATACAGAAAAAAAGACAATGATTATGATTTATGAATGAAACATCAAAGAAAATTATTTCAAGGTATTCTAAACTTGGGTATATGGCTTGACACAATTTAAAATTTTTAGATATAAATCAGTGCACCCTAAACCCATTTTAATTGATTAACTTTTACATCTTCTTTGCAAATTAAAGGATACTGTTTCTTTTAAAAACAAAAAGCAGATGTCAGGATAGTGTCTCTTCTAAAAAAAAAAATTTTTTTTTTAAAGGAAAATTCTCTTTGAATGTTGAGAAAACACCCTCCTGTATTATAAACTATTATTGTGTTAGATTTTCTCATAAATTTTTAGGGACAAATAAAACTAGTTCAAAAATAGTAACTTTCCATTTATTTTTAAAAATCCAAACACATAACATATATGTGAAATAACTCCCTGTGTTTTGTATTTTAAATTGCATGCAACCTATGTATGTGATACAAGAACCCCAATTTTTAGATTTTAGAAGTACACAATGAGTCCTCTTGATTATTTCCTTGCTTTGTTAAGACCATTAACTATTTGAAACCTGAAAGTGATAACTCAGCAATAAAATATTCATAAGATAAAGGGTCAAAATTTTTACCTGTCATTACTTACCTATAATTTGTTTCAGATGTTTCCAGAAGATTAAATTCACAAGTAGTTGGACCATTTAAAATGTAGGTATATACTGTATAAACAGTAGCCTTGGAGTTATAGTTACTGTTAAGAATACACACACATTTAACAGGGAACAAGGAATACCCACCTTCTAACGATGACGATATTCGCGCTCTCGGTCACGCTCTCGGTCACGGTCTCGGTCACGATCCCGGTGCCTCTCTCGTTCTCTGCTTCTCTCTCTGTAATAATCGTCATGACGGTCTCTACTACGGGATTTATGACGTCGACTCTTTTCTCGTGATCTACTATGGTCCCTCTCTCTTGATCGTTCACGTCTTCTAAAAGAAATTACTGGATTAATGCTCTCCATAATTAGATAGCCTAAAAATATTCAATTTTTTGATGTCTAAAAAAACTTAGGCAGCAAAAATTCTTTGTAAATCTGGTTTAAACTTACTATCCTGAGCTGCCAATAACGACTTACCAACTCACCAGGTAAGCATGAACCAGAAATTTCACTATTAAAAACATTAACAAAAAAATCAGCAACCAGACACATCACAGAAATGCATCACATCATCTATTAAACTAGTAGCCTAAAACAGATGTGTAGTATTTACTGAATGCACAAATAGAAAGGTAAAGGGAAAATTTCAAAGCACTCGTGTTTCAAGCTAAAGAACATCTACAATATGGTTTTTTTAGATATAAAAGTCATGAAATCACAACACACAATGGGGCTTAAATACATGAATATGACAACCTCTTAACATATGGTTCATGAGCAGCATCCAACACAAAGAAACCTTCTAATACGCATGTTATATTCAGGGGAGGAGAAGAGGCATGGGAGAGGGCTAACAATTATGACCAGTAGCAAGAATAGATATAGTATTCACATTGTATTTAATAAGTAGAAATGTTTCATGAACTGCGATTTTTTAAAAACAAATAATTTAACCAAAGCTTACTACCCAAAAGACTTCTATAAATTCTGCTAAATTCACAGTAAGGAAATAATAACTGTCTACGAAATAATATTTATGTCTTGTATTTCTGCACCAGACAGCTAAGCTTAGCAAACATTAGGTGCTAAAATCCTTGATCAAGGCCTAAGTTATTACTTTGTTTTTTCAAGATAGGGTCTCTCTCTCTCTCTCTGTCACCCAGGCTGGAGTGCAGGGACATGATCACAGTTCATTTCATCCTCGACCTCTGAGGCTCAAGCAACCCTCCCACCACAGCCTCCCAAGTAGCTGGGACTATAGGCATGCACCACCAGGCCCAGATATTTTTAAAATTTTTTTGTAGAAAAACTCCTTATGTGGCCAAGGCTGGTCTCAAACTCCTGGGGCTCACGTGATCCTCCTGCCTTGGTCTCCCAAAGTGTTGGGATTAAAAAATTATTACTTTGGACTTCAAAACTTAAAAAGATGATACAAGATAACTATATCTATGACAAATTTGTTTAGACACAAAGATTCTTACACCGGGTCAAAAAGGTAATAATTACAAAACTGGGGACCATGTCAAAGGCAAGCTCTTTTCTCTTACAGATTACTACCAGATAGAGTACACTAAAGACATATCTAAGAATACCAAGTGAAGATTAGGTCTGCCTTTCAAAAATATATAAAATTTCAAAGTTAGCAGCAATGCTAAAAAGAAAAAAAAAGGAACTACCTAAAAGATAGATCATTCATTCATTCAGTCACTCCCTCATTCGAGAAATTTTTATTTAGCACTCATTCTGTACCACACACTCTGTAGGCATTAGAAATATTATAACGAGCATGGCTGAGCACACTGGCTCATGCCTATCATCCCAACACTTTGGGAGGCCAAGCTGAGAGGATTACTTGAGCCCAGGAGTTCAGGACCAGCCTGGGTAACTTAACAAGACCCATCTCTTAAAAGAAAAGAAATATAGTAAGCAGGATAGATAAATCCCCTGCCATCATTCAACATGTGTTCTAATGAGGAAAAATATGCCTTATAACAAGTAAGAATTGATTATGGTAAGTACTATGGAAGAAATAAAAAGAACAATACGACAGACTAACTTGGGAGAAGCCCCACCCTAAGAAGTTAGAATGAGACGTGAAGAATAAGGAGCCAGCTATGTGAAGAGACAGGGAAAACTGCTCCCAGCAGAAGGAATATAAAGTGAGGTGGTCAAACATTTGGTGTACCTAAAGAAAAGGAGAAATATGGAGAAATACTCACTGGAGAACAGTGAGTAAGGGGAGAGGTACAAAATGAGGCTAAAAAGATAGGCAGGGGCTTTATCACACAGTCCCTCAATCTTTACAGTCTTGCTTTAAGACTGAGTAGGAGCCTTTAAAGGGTTTTAAGCAAGCAACTAACATTTAGAGTTAAAAAAAAAAACCACTCCAGCTGCTAAATAATCAGTAAGTAAAAGCAAAGTCCTCCTTTTAAAGTCTCACAGTATTTTTTCCATTTGTAAACTAACAGTTTTTTTAAATGGAAATGAGACAGGAAAGTTTTACCTTGATCCAGAACCATAAGACTTGGACTCAATTCCATGAAGGCAATCTTGCAAAGAACTAATAAGAACTTTGCAACGATCATCAGCAGATACTTTGGATTGTTTAATTAAAGAAATTGCAGTTACCAGTGTCTCAATAGCACTCCCATAATCACCTGTGAGGGAAAGGAAAGGGTTTGAAGTCAAACAAATTTTGTTTTCAAAACACCATCAAACCACTTGGGATAAGAGTGATAAGGCATTTTACAAAAGTACTGTGCTATAAAATAACTATGCAAGACAATGTCTTCTTTCAGTGTTTCACCATTTGCAAAAGCCTTTCATGCTCATGATATTGACTCAACTTATTATACGTGTGTGAAGCACATTATCATTTTGCAAATATAAGAATAAATAAGGTGTCATGAGGCCCCTGAACCATTAAATGTCAAGGGTAAGACTTAAATCTATACCAAATAACTTAAAATTTGGATTTTCCCCACTACACTGTGACACACAACTTTTTTCAATGCTTTTTAAATAAATCGTAGGTAATGATTTGGGAATATAAAAAGAACTACTACATGTAAATGACCTATCTTCTAGATTGTACTTACATTTTTAGGTCATTCCTAATAACATAAATAAGAAATATTAATACAAGAAATACACAAACCAGCACTGGCATCAGACACAGCTCTCGAAATAGCACTGCTTGAGATTGCCCTATTTCTATTCATGATTTCTTCAAATTCAGCTTCACTCAATGGCGTTCTTGCAGTATCCATTTCCCTGTAAAACAAAAACATAAACCTTAACTCATACTCAACAGATTTCCTCAGTTAGTCACAACAGTGTATAGCAATTCATACTAGCTGCTTCTGACATGTGCTTTAGAGATAGTAGTTACTTTTCCATATTGAAGCATGCTACTTTTCCAACAAAGAGAACAAATCTAAAAATTCTCCTATACCAGTATCTTTCAGCTAAAACAGGGTAGCAGCTTAAACACCTCATCTTCTTGGAAGGCAGAAATAACATATTTATATACCTACAATCTAATATTTACAGTCATTGTTCCTATCTTTTATCATCAAGTACTTTCACAGATACACACTAACTTACCTTCCAGGGGGGCCATAGTCACCCCTATCATATGGTGGAGGTCGCCCATATGGATCTGTTGGTGGTGGACCTCGGCTATCTGATGTAGGCATGCCACTGTTAGTTGGTGGAGGAAAGAAAGCTGGGTTCACATGCGGAGCTGGCGGTGGGGCACCTGGAGGTGGTCCAGGAAGATGCGGAGGAGGAGCTAGTGTAAGGGGTGGCCCAAGTGGACCGGGTGGACGAGGTGGAAAGGGGCCTGGAGGTGGAGGTGGTCCCTGTTGTGGAGGTGGTGGGCCAGGAGGGGGGCCGTAGCCTGGAACTGGAGGTGGAGGGCCAGGAGGAAGTGGACCCAATGGAGGCTGCCCAAAAGGTTGTCCAGGAAAAAGAACTGGTGGTGGAGGGCGATCTCCTCGATTAGGAGGCCCAGCTAGAGGAGGAGGCAGAACCTGACCAGGAGGTGGAGGACCTGGTGGACCAGGTGGGCCTGGAGGACCTAAGGGTGGACGTGGTGGAGTCTGTCCAGCTAAAAAACAAAGGAGAAAGAGAGAAAAAAAAACACTTCACTAATAAGATATTTTAACTTTTATATGCCAAGATTATACTTTAAACGCATAGAGCATACACCAAGTCTTTGTCTTTAAATTAAACCCGTATGGTAAATGTTACACTACCAACTACAATGAAGTATATCCTTACAAATTTAACTAGCTCAATTTATGCTTAAGAAAAATTATTGAAACGAAAACTTTAATAAAAAAATATTACAATGCCTAGAGATATTTTCCATCTTTCCGTGTACACACACTTCTTACAGTGAAATCACCCACCTTATATTCTACTCTGATGCCAAGCTAGAAAGTGAAACAAGGAAAAATGATCTTGAAAGGATTTTTTTAAGAGGTAAGAAAGTAAGACGGATGTAAATATTCTATATATAAGTCAAGCAAGTTTGGAGAAAAATAAAGACCTTTTAGGCCAAAAATGGGTATTTCCTCTATGCTGTGCCCCATATGCCATGGAATCCTAGTTTCCAGGAACAAAGGCCGAGTTCCTTTAACAAGATGCTTGATCAAATTTCCTGGATTCCAAAAATAGCATAACAAGGAGAGTAAGTCACATTAATAATGCATTACTTGAAAAAGAGAGAAAAGGAAAAGAGGTATTAGGTAGACATGTTTTATCCATGGTAATTTAAGAAAAGTTTTACCTGGAAAAGGTGGGGGTGGCCCTCCTGGTCCTGCTGGCCCAGGAAATCTGTCCCCACCAGGAACAGCCCCTGGAAAACGGCCCCGTCCTCTACCACCTTGTGGAAATGCTGCACGGGAACTGCCTCCTGGAGGACCAGCTTTACCTTCCCCAGACATTTGTCCTGATTGTGTAGCTGCAAATATCCAAATACTCATAAATAGCACTTATTAAAAATAGTTTTCTGAAATGTAACCACTATTATTAAAAACAACTCTATTTCTAATATATTAACTTGCAAATGCCTTGTGCCTATGCAAACTACATAAGAAAGTATGGTTTAGGAAAACATTCACATCTATTTGGGTACTTTTAAAGACTCAAAATATCCAGGTTTAAATATATTTTCCATAGGTAATCGTGAGTTACTTTCAAAATACCAGCACTCTGCAGCAGCCAAGACCGAAATTCTTCAACAGATATCTTAATTTCAGTATTACATCATTTAAATTTTGTAACACACTTCTTCAGTTAAGTCTTAAGTGCTAAAACATTAAAAGAAAAGGAACCACTTGAATTTCTGTTAATTACATAATCATCCATCTCATCTCTTTAAAGATAATGTACTTAAATGTATAATGACAAATCTTTTCTATATTCAGTTTACCAAGTGGTGAAAGGTCTTGTTGCCAAGCAGAAAAATCAATGAACATTTTCTGGTTATCAGTGATCTCTCCCCCACCATAATACACATCCACATAGCTCTCCTTTAATCTAAGAATTAGAATGTAGTTTCTTTCTGTATCTAAGATGGAAATAATAGGACAAGAATGGCAGGGCTATAGAACTTGCACATTGTTGTATAGTATTGGGTCTGTTACATCTGGAGAAAAATGGAACAGGAGTAGGTTTCTCGTACACAGGCCCACAGTCATAACCAGTGATTAAATCTAATTCAAAGCATGGACTTTGTGAAATGGAGTTCCTAGTGAGCTAGTATTAAGATGACTTCTCTAGTATAACACCTAACAAATGCACTGGTTAAAATGTACATATTTTAATAAAAGCCTCTGAGGACTGCTTACTTTTCCTGGACTGCATTTCAAATTGACTCAGGAACTGTTTATTGCATGGAGTTACAACAGGATTCTGACCATGAAGTTCTCTTTTAGGTAACAGATCCATTAACTTTTTTGAAGATGCTTCAGATCCAACACCAACAAGGGCAAACCTAAAAAGTGTTTAAGGGGTGAGGATACAAAGTAAAAAGAGATCAATATTATTACTGTTATTCTTCTGTAAAAAGGTCTTAATCTGCTTTTATCTAAAACAACAGCTGGGCACAGTGGCTCATGCCTGTAATCCCAGCTGCTTAGAAGGTTGAGGCACGAGGATTGCTTGAGCCCAGGAGTTTGAGGCTACAGTAACCTATAATCACACTACTGCACTCCAGCCTGGGCAACACAGTGAGATCCTGTCTCTAAAAATAAATAATTTTAAAAACTAAAAATATTTCTTAACTATACGAGTACACATTTTTGTTCATCTTGTATAACATACCATAGAATTCAGTCATTCAAAATATATAATTCAGTGGTTTTTAGTATTTCACAGTGTTATAACCACCACCATAATCAATTTTAAAACATTTTCATCACCCCAAAAAGAAACTCCATATCCATTAGCCATCGCTCCCATTCCTTCCCATCCCTGTACCCTATGGAACCACTAAACCTAATTTCTGTCTCTGGACTGGCCTATCCTAGACATTTCATCTAAATGGAATCATACAATAGGAGGTCCCTTGTGACCAGCCTTCTTTAACTAGCATGTTTTCAAGCTTCATCCACTGTTACAGCATGCATCACCACTTACTTTTATGGGTGAATAATTTTCCATTATAAATATACAACATTAAAAGAAATGTATCCATCAGTTCATGGACATTTGGGTTGCTTCCACTTTTTGCTACAATAAAAAGATGTACAATATCATTAACTATTGGGGAAGTGCAAATCAAAACCACAAGATACCACCCCATACCCACTAGGGTGGCTATAATCAAAAAGACAAGTATTAAAGATGTGGAGAGGCCGGGTGCAGTGGCTCACGCCTATAATCTCAGCACTTTGGGAGGCCAAGGCAGGAGGATCATGAGGTCAGGAGTTCAAGACCAGCCTGACCAACATGGTGAAACCCCGTCTCTACTAAAAATTCAAAAATTAGCCAGGCATGGTGGCGTGTGCCTGTAGTCCCACGCTGGGAGGCTGAGACAGGAGAATCGCTTGAACCTGGGAGGCAGAAGTTGCAATGAGCCAAGATTGCGCCACTGCACTCCAGCCTGGGTGACAGAGTGAGACTCTGTCTCAATAAATAAATAAATAAATAAATATGTGGAGAAACTGGAACCATTGCACATTGCTGATGAGCACGTATTAATAAAATGGCACAATGCCTCTGGCAAATAATCTGGTAATTCCTCAAACATTTAAACATAGAGTTACTATATTAACCCAGTAATTCCATTCCTAGGTACACATCCAACAGAACTGAAAATACATGTTCACACAAAATGGGTACACAAATATTCACAGGGGCATTTTCCTTAATAGCCAAAAGTGGAAATAACCTAGACGTCCATCGACTGATAGATTAAAAGAAAAAAGTGCTATATCCATGTAGTGGAATATTACTCAGCCATAAAAAGAAATGCTGATGCATGCTTCAACATGGATGAACCTTAAAATCATTATGCTAAGGAAAAAAGCCAGTCACATAGGACTACGTATTTTATGATTCCATTTAGATGAAATGTCCAGAACAGGCATATCCAGAGCACGTTAGCAGTTGCCAGCAGATAGGAAGAGAGGAAATGGGAGTGACTGCTAACCAGGTACAAGGTTCCTTCTTGGAGTGATGAAATGTTCTGGAATGAGACAGTGGTAATGGTTGCTAAACTTCATAAATATAATAAATTATCATTGAATTGTACATTTAAAAGCCTGCATTTTATGGCATATGAATTATACCTCAAAAAGAAAAACAAATTTAAAATAATCAGAATGATTACCAATTCGTATAGTTACAGGATATTCTAAATTATTTGAGGGAGGGAGGGTCTTAGTAGCTTAAGAAGCTTAAGCTCTTTTCCCCCTAATGTTCAATATGATCTTTTAAATTATCCTTCTTATTTTAGTCAACAAGTTCTGCTGTTTGCACCAGGATTATCTTGGGTCACAACATTTAGAAAAAACTAAATTAATTTAACAAATATTTATTAAGCACCACTTCTTATACGCAAGGTACCATTCTAGAGCTGGAGAAGTAATAGAGAACAAAACAAAATCTCTGTTCTCATTAAGCTTAAAGGCTTGGAAGAGGAGACAACAAACGAGTAAAATATATCAGAGCAGAAATAAAGGAAACAGGATAGGAAGGTGCTACTTTGCACAAGATGGTCATGGAAGAAAACTCTTAAACAGTTTGAGTCCTGAATGAAGTCAAAGAGTAAGCCATGTGGATATTTGAGGGGGAAAAGTAAACCAAGAAGAGAAAACAGCTAAAGGTCCTAGGTAGGAATTGGTCTGGCCAACAGCAAAGAGACTAATGTGGCTGAAAAAGAGTGGTAGGATAGGGTTAGAAAGGTGGTGGGAAAACAGACCAGAAAGTACCTTGTAGACAATGGTAAAGAATGAGACAGACAGGAAACCATGAGAAGATTGAGCAGAATGTCATTTTTTTTTTAGAACTTCTGTTATGTGGAGTACAGACTGTAGGGGGCAGTCTATACTTCCAGTTAGGAAGCTACTGCCAAAGTTTAAGTGAGAGATGATAGTGGCTTTGACCAAGTGGTATAAGTAAAGTTAGTGAGAAGTATTCAGACTCTGCATATATTTTGAAAATATTCTCAGTTTAGTATAAATTGGTATAATCTTCTAAGATAAGTAAGCAATATAAGAAATAAGAAAATTCTTTATCATTGTGCATCTAACAATTTATCCTTAAAAGAAAATCCAAAATCTGTACCAAAAGACTTATATAAAATGATGTCTGCTGCAACATTATTTACAATAGGCAAAAGTGGAAACCACCACGATAACCAAAAATAAGAAAGGTAAATTACAGTAGCATACCAGGTATGATGCAAAAGAATTAGACATTAGAGAGGATGTGTATTTATTTTTATTCCTTATATCAAACATATAAAACACATGAATTATAATTCCATTATTTATTTATTTATTTATTTTTAGGAAAAAGCCCAAAAGAATCTTCACTAAAATGTTAAAAGTAAACATCAATGAATGGTAGGACAGTGGTATTTTATTTTCTTACTTTTAGATATCTGTATTTATAATGTTCTCATGCTGAGGCTATCCCACTTGTATAGTTTAGTAGTGAAATAAAGCAAAATATCCATGTAACACATTATTCAGTTGCCCATCTTCTCCCATCTCTTAATCACAGGGAGAGTAATGGTTCTTAAACTGTCATTTCAACAACCATTTCAACCACAGATAGAGAAAACTTGGGAAAAATAGAAAATAAATCTGTCCACATTTCCACTCTACTGGTTTTAGTGTGTTAGGTAATAGGGTACGTAAAATGAAAAGTATCAATCTTTGCCCAAGAACCTCCTTCCAATGTAAACAATCATGTGTTGTTTGTATACATGTGTATACATGTGTAATTAACATTAACTTAAAGGAAAGTTAACTTGTAAAAACTGTATCACTAGCTACTAAATCAAAAAGAAAGAAAAAAAAAACTTACCCCTTTGACTGGCCATTTGCCCGATTTTCAAAAAATTTTATCTCCAAAATATCATTTACTCCCAAAGAATGAACTGCTTCAGTTAAGTCTTCATCTGTTGTCCACTGCAAGATATTTTCCCCCTCATTAACCATTAAAATAAAACCAAGATTTTTATTATCCCAGTCTAGTTTTTAAGGGGAAATTTGAGACATAAAAGAGAAAATAAATGCTGAGTGCAAATCTAAGTCTAGTTATGGCCAGTCAGACTCCAATTTTTAAACAGCACAAAAACCATCTGGGAACCTAACTTCATTCCCTGATAAGTATTTCAGAAACTAGAAGGTATATACCCTTGGGGTTACAATAAGATTTGACTCTCAAGAGTTTCTGGTCCCTTACAGCTTTAAACTGCTATGATTTTAAATTGTGAATAAAACCAATTTCACTTCCTCCCATTAAAGGAAAGTATTTTGAATTTCATCTTGTTTTTGAATTAAAATGCAGATAAGAAAAAACTAACATGTATTTAATATCTACCATATACTTTATGTATCAACTAACTCTTATAACAACCATATAAGCACTATTATTATACCCATTTTACACATGATACAATAGAAGTTAAAGAGCTTTAACTCTTTAACAAGGTCACAAAACTAATAATAGATGGTGGAGCTAAGATCCAAATACTTACTTAGCAACCATACTTTCATAACTACACTGCTACTGTCTCCAATTTTATAGAATACTCAGACTGGGTGGTGGGAGATCTGTTACATTTAGTTTTAAAAGAAATGTAAATAGGCTGGGCACCATAATCCTAGCACTTTGAGAGCTTGGTTAGGAGGATCACTTGAGGCCAGGAATTTGAGGCCAGCCTGAAGCAATATAGCAAGAAGTCAGCTCTACAAAAGTGTTTGTTTTGTTTTTAATTAGCCAGGCAGAGTGACACATGCCTGTGGTCCTAGCTACTTGGAGGCTGACACAGGAGAATCACTTCAGCCCAGGAGTTTGAGGCTTCAGTGAGCTATGATTACACCACTGCACTCCAGCCTGGGTGACAGAGTTTTGCAAATTCTGTCTCCCCCTGAAAAAAAGAAATGTAAATAAAACGTTTAAAAATACAGTGTTATTAAGGAAATGCAAGGGTGCCAAGTTTTATTGATTTTTGCATATACAAGTTTTTAACTTTCAAGTATACATATAACTAAGTAGAAATACAAACATTCTATAGGACTATTTTAATGATACTTAAGATGTAATATTAATAAAAAATAAATATACATATGTGCATTTAATGAAGCTCTAAATCAATAATCTTAGTCTCATGACAACCCAAATTAAAATATAATACGCACAGAAGTGCTTCTATAAATCAGATTTCAAATTTAAGGGCAGAAATAAAACTCAAATTTGTAACACAAATTAAATAATGGACACTATTTTTAAACCAGGAGTGATACTATGTCTCTTTCCTTTTACACTTGAATCCTGGTTTGAGACCCCATGTGAGCATTATTTTTAGTGAAACTGGGCTATCGGAAGCAAGGTAAAGTGGTAGCATAAAAAAGGTAACTGAAGACAAAACTAATTTAACTATATTTAACTAGTATCTCCACCAAGAAAAGTTGAATGACCACAAAACTCAAAACTAGAAGAATTCGAATTAACGATGTTGCAAAGATATTTGTATTTCCCTCCTCATTGGACAAGCAAACACATATAGAAAAACACAGTAACTTCAAACTTATAAAAATCTGGAGAAAAACATTAATTACTAGAGCAGTTCAAAATCAATTACCAATAATTTAATTCTTATATTAACTTCACTTACCCATGTTAGATTTCCAATATATAATGCAATTCTCTTTCCAGTATATGTATAGACAACATTTGGTGCTGCTCCTTTACCCACATCATCACCAACAGTTGGTGGGAGAGTATCCATGTAATCTCGGTCTTCTGGGGCATCTCCATTATTTGCAGATGGAGATATGACATCGTCATACAAATCTATCTGATCATGCCCACCATATTCAGCTTCCTGAGATACAGAAATAATGCTCTAGATTATACAAAAGTCAAAATACTACTAAAATAGACTTGAATACAAATTCAACTTTTTGTTTTAAAAATCTGATGGAAAAAGGCCAAGGATTTCAGTACAAATCTTTTTCCACTTTATGCAATAGATGTATTCTTGAACAGGTCTAAAAAGTGAATTTCTTGCCGGGAGTGGTGGCTCACACCTGTAATCCCAGCACTTGGGAGGCCGAGGCAGGTGGATCACTTGAGGTCAGGAGTTCGAGACCAGCCTAGCCAACATGATGAAGCCCTGTCTCTACTAAACATACAAAAATTAGCCAGGCATGGTGGCACACGCCTGTAATCCCAGTTACTCAGGAGGCTGAGGCAGGAGAATCGCTTGAACCTGGGAGGCGGAGGTTGTAGTGAGCCAAGATCGTGCCATTGCACTCCAGCCTGGGCGACAGAGCAAGACTTCATCTCAAAAAAAAACAAAAAAACAAAAAAAGGGGGTTTCCTTTATTTCTTTTCTTTTTTTTCTTTTTTTTTTTTTTTTTGTAGAGACCAGGTCTCGCTACATTGCCCACGCTAGTTTCGAACTCCTGAGTTCAAGCAATCCTCCTGCCTCGGCCTCCCAAATATAGGCTTGAGCCACTGCACCCAGCCTAAAGTTAATTTCTATATAACGAAACCTACTTTTCCACTGATATTTATTATAATATAAAAAATAAGTTCTTTTGGAAAAAGACATGGAAACAAAATAAGTAACATGAAACTTTCCTTGGAAATACTCTTAACTAGAAGTAATAACACACAAATGCAAATAGACAAGTTTTTTTTAAACTGACAGTAGAAAAATCACCCCAAAATCCAAAGCCATTATATCTTTAATATGACCACAGAAAAATAGTTATTATTTTCTATAGTATTCAGATCTTGTTTTCCAACCTTGAGGAAGCTACCAGTATTAAAAAAAAGCATAGTGAGCTGAGCCATAAAAGAAAGAAGAAATATGGGTATGTAAATAATTCAAAATGTCGTAATAAATGAACAAGGTAAAGAGAAATAAACGAAATACATGTAGAACAATCCAAATTAATTATCTTGCAAGTTGTATTATTCTCAGTGAACAAAGAGCTAATGCTTACCTGAATTCTTAGTTATCTAGTCAAGCAAATTAGCAAGAGAAAAGCAACAGACAACAAAAAGAGTATAGTAAAGCTTTGGCACTGTCACCAGCAGAATTAAAGCAATGCTACTGGGTGTCACTTACATGCCTAAATGATAATCAGGGAAAAGGAAAACTAAAATGAAACAGAAACAGGAGCAGGAAAAAAATAGAAGAGGGTTCAATTTGTAACTAAGTACATGAAAAATGAAATGTAGGTAAAAGCAGAACACTCAACACTATTTAATTGCCTTTGATAACCATTAAATAGACCATAAGCTTGACTAAGCCTGTAGCACAGGAAAATCTCCATTTTTATCTTCTACTCTCCCTTTCCACAACTAAGTACTTGTATTGGTGTGAACCATTTTATTCTTATGACATAGAACATCTGACATAAGGAAAAAGACAATTATAAGACAACCTGAAAGTTCAGACGTAACTTACAGATTCTCCCATTAATACAATTTACTAAAGAATTATACAAATGGCACATATGGAGGAGCTAATGGTTTTAGGGACTATTAGCCAAAATAGTCCCTAAATGGATAGAATGACCCAGAGAAAAGCATTTGTTATATGATGGTAAACAGAGCAACAAGATATTATGGGCCCAGGCTACTGTTTTGCTATTTAAAGGAGAGCCAGAATAAGATCTTTTATTTATTTTGTATTTTTTTAATTTTAATTTTTATTTATTTATTTTTTTGAGACGGAGTCTTGCTCTGTCGCCCAGGCTGGAGTGCAGTGGCGCAATCTCGGCTCACTGCAAGCTCCGCCTCCTGGGTTCACGCCATTCTCCTGCCTCAGCCCCCCCCCCCCCCCCCGAGTAGCTGGGACTACAGGCGCCCGCTACCTTGCCCAGCTAATTTCTTGTATTTTTTGTAGAGATGGGGTTTCACCGTGTTAGGCAGGATGGGTTAGCCAGGATGGTCTTGATCTCCTGACCTCGTGATCCGCCCGCCTCGGCCTCCCAAAGTGCTGGGATTACAGGTGTGAGCCACCACACCCGGCCGAGAATAAGATCTTTTTAAAAGAAAAAGAAAAAAGCCTAGTAGGGGAAATATCATTTATATTCCTAAATAAAGGGACCTCAAGTAATCATCAGGTAATCGTTTATGTAATTAATGACTTATCCAATTTACTAGTTACAGAATCTTTACATACCAATTTTACTTGTTACGAGGTAGAATGTCTATAAGACTTATTTAATAAGGGGTCTGGGATCTCAAGGTTAAATCAGAGAACAAAGCTAAATTTAACAAAGGGCAGAAACTAAGACCACAAGTCACTGAATAATGCCATAATTTTATTCTGTTTGTACAGCAATACTAAAATAATCTTTAAGAAATGAGTTTTTGTTAAACAAAGTAACATGCTCAAATTGCAATGACCACAGAAATTAGGAAAAAAGAGGGTAAGTTTTGTTATGAAGTTTCAGTGTGGCTGAAGCTTCAGGCGGTGTGGCTGCAGCAGTAGTTCCATGCACTTAAGATACTAAAAAGTTTCCCACAAGGGGTGTTGGGCACTTTAAACTCTCTTGCAATCCGGTTCTGAACATCAAGTAGAATTACTAATATTATTCAAAGGGAGTTGAGTTTCCATCCTCCTCAGCAGAAACTATAATCACAATATATGGTCTGAGGGAAAGTAAAAAAGAATGGAAGGGTTATTAACAGCAGGACTAAATGTATTTTTAAATTTACACTTTCACTTACATAAATAGGTGAACAGATTCTTTGTTTTCTTCTATTAGCTACAAACCTGTGAAAATGTTTACATAAGTAGACAAAAAATTTACAAGCATAATTGCAGCTACACTAACCTGGTATATCACAATCACTTACTATTTTTGTCCATCCATGAATTCCTATGTTGACACAAACCAATTTTCCACATTGATATGATTCTACCAATATTTAGGATCAGCCATTTTGTCTGGTAGTTGTACTGCTTCCAAGTGGTTGTAGTACGATCCTAATTAAGACCATGGTCCTGGGGTTTGATCTCCATGTGGACTAGTTAGCTTCTCTCTGTTCCAAGGCCACAGCCTGTACACTTAGCCCCAATGGTATACATTTAAACTTTGTGAAAAAACATAATGAATCTGAATACATTTGCTGCCATTACTAAAAATGAAACTCAAAGCACACTCTTTTGTAGTTATCAGTAACCTTCCTTTTAATCAGCTTCATATCACATCAATCCTCCAGCGTAAAAAAAAATACAGAACATACTGAACTTTGTTCTTACTTCATAAAGTGAGAAAATATGCATGATGTTTGCATGAGAAATTATGCAAAATGTATATCACAGGTCATATATAAATAAAGCTCTGTGAGCCTACTGAACAGACTAAAAAAAAGGTTTCCAGTTTGTCAAAGAAATATTTCACGGTATCATTTTTTATTACATGAAGGGTCTTTTCAATTATTACTTTTAATTTTAATGGCATTCAAAAAACAAGAAAATATCAACATCATTCCTCTAATTATCTTTGATACCAAATGTTGCCCAATCTTATCTGCTGTTCATAGTAGCTAGCCAGCTATGTTACATAAAGCTTGGAATAAACAACAGCTCTTAGGGTTTGTTTAAAAAAAAAAAAAACTCACTAATTTTTTTCATTCCCTACCATTCTAAATCACTACAATCATTCTTTAGACAAGGTATTCTCTCAACATTTTACACAACAAGATTATGCTCCACATGATATACAAATATCTGTTGCCAAGCCAGAGAAAATGGATGGCAAAATGACCAAAATCCTATTAGTTCCCTTAAAGTATGGCTTCTCAACCTTTTCATTATCCCTGTCTCCTCCCTCCCTTCAAGAAGTTACTTTTAGACATTTTTTCCCTAATTACCCCTCTTACAATTTTAATATCACAGATATACGATACATACTGTATACCACTATTGGGATGAACTTGTTGGCTGTCAAAATATTCATCATTCTCCCTGACAGGCCTGATATTTTTTTGATGGTTCTAAAATTACAGTAATATCATTCGAGGCTAGGCATGGTGGTTCATGCCTGTTAATCCCACCACTTTGGGAGGCCAAGGCAAGAGGATCCCTTGAGCCCAGGAGTCTAAGACCAGCCTGGGCAACTTAGGAAGATCCCATCTCTACCATAAAAATACATAAATACATACAAAATTCGTGCATTATATGATACTATCAGTAAATGCACAGCAAAGGCCACTTGTTTCAAAGCCTATTTTAAATTATTTCCATTTAGAGAAATATATGAAGGGGGGAAGTTACATTTTGCATTTACAAAATATATCCTATACCTCGGAAAAGAAATACTAGTATGCAAAATCCAATAGCAGATAACCTAATGCATACATTTTTAAAGAAAATATATCATTTTCTGGTTTTATCTAATTATGTTCTCAGTAGTTATTAAAACTGGCTAGTAATCCCTGTAAAAATCCCTTCCTTATATAATGGTAAGGAATTTGGTACTAAAAATATGCCACATAAACCATAGTGGACAATTCACAGGCAACTAAATTAACTGCACCCATAAATAACAAAATAGAGAAGAGTTCTAGCTTCCCTGAACATTTCTATCCATTTTTCTGAATCAATTCTACCTAGCTCATTCTCAACCTGACAGCTTTATTTCAGATGGTTTTCTAGTAAACATAAATAAATCATAAACAATGTTTCTCTGATATTTGTCCAAGAAATTTATTTTCATTAATTGGCTCAACAATTGGCTAGAATACATACATAATGACTGAACGTAAAGCAAAATGATTCATGACATAAAAACTGACTTATCGGATGTCCAGGTCCGTAACTCCTAAGTGAATTCTTTGTTCCAACTACTGCCTCTATACACCTCCATTCTTTTAAAAGTAATTAATCTATTTTTGTGTGTGACAAAGTCTCGTTCTGTCACTCAGGCTGGAGTACAGTGGCCTGATCTCAGCTCACTGCAGCCTCTGCCCCCCAGGTTCAAGCAATTCTCCTGCCTCAGCCTCTGAAGTAGCTGGAATTACAGGTGTGCACTATCATACCTGGCTAAATTTTGTATTTTTAGTAGAGACAGGGGTTTCGCCATGTTGGCCAGGCAGGTCTCAAACTCCTGACCTCAAGTGATCCGCCTACTTCAGCCTCCCAAACTGCTGGAATTATAGGCATGAGCCACCGCACCTGGCCTACACTTCCATTTTAAAGCTGGGTGGTCAGATTACTAAATTTGTGCTATCGGTGATGGCCTGACAGAGCAGAAACTAAATTCCACATTAAGAGTTTCTGACTCCCAAACAAGCAACAAAACATACTACTTCAATGCAAGCAGTGTAAGTTTCCCTAAAGTTCACAGAATTTTTTTGACTTTCCTCTCCAGATCAACAAAACTTTACACATAAAACATAAAAGAATGGTAACTACAATATAGGACCTGTCAGTGTGCTATAATTATAGTAGTCCCCTCTTATCTGAGAGGGATATGTTCCAAGACCCCCAGTGGATGCCTAAAGCCACGGAAAGCAAGGAACCCTAAATATACTATGTTTTTCTTTATATATACCTACGATAAAGTTTAATTTATAAAGTAGGCACTGTAAAAAATAACTAATAAAAGAGAACAATTTAGTCATGCATGACAATGTTTTGGTCCAGGTGGTCAGATTATAATGGAGCTGAAAAATTACTATTGTTTAGCGATCTTAGCCCAATGCATTCCTCACGTTTGGGCTCGTAATGCTGGTGTGAACAAACCTACTGTGCTCTCAGTCATATAAAAGAATAGCACATACAATTATGTACAGTACACAATACTTGACAATAAGCGACTGTGTTACTGGTTTATGTATTTATTATACTATACTTTTTTGTTTTTACACTTTTTTTTTTTTTTTTTTAAATAGAGACGGAGTTTCGACATGTTGGCCAAGCTGGTCTCGAACTCCTGGCCTCAAGCAATCTGCCGCCTCAGGCTCTCAAAGCACTGGGATTACAGGTGTGAACCACCACACCAAGGCCAACTATACCATACTTTTAATCATTATGTTAGAGTGTACTCTTCCTACTTCAAAAAGTTAACTGTAAAACAGCCTCAGGCAAGTCAGTCCTTCACCACGTATTACAGAAGAAGGCAGTTATCCTAGGAGATGACAGCCCATGCATCATACTGCCCCTGAAGACCTTTCCAGTGGGACAAGATGCAGAGATGGAAGACAGTGATATTGATAATCCTGACCCTGTGCAGGCCTAGGTTAATGTGTGTATATCTTAGTTTTTAAAAAAAGCTTAAAAAAAAAAAGACCAGGTTCAGTCGTTCATGCCTGTAATTCCAGCCTCCTTTGGGAGGCTGAGGCAAGAGGATCACATGAGGCCAGGAGTTTGAGACCTGTGCAACACAGTAAGACCTTGTCTCTTCTAAAATAAAATTAATTTTAAAAGTTAAAAAAAAAAATTTAATAGAAAAAAGTTTAGGCCCAGTGTGGTGACTCATGCCTGTAATCCCAGCGCTTTGGGAAGCCAAGGCAAGAGGATCACTTGAGGTCACGAGTTCGAGACCAGCCTGGCCAACATGTGAAACCTCGTCTCTTACTAAAAATACAATAATTAGGCAGGCATGGTGGTGAGTGCCTGTAATCCCAGCTGAGGCAGGAGAACTGCTTGAACCCAGGAGGCAGAGGTTGCGGTGAGCCAAGATCGCGCCACTGCACTTCAGCCTGGGTGACAAAGCGAGACTCCATCTCAAAACAAAACAAAACAAAAAAAAGAAGTAAGTTTACAGTATAAGGATATAAAGAAAATATTTTATATAGTTACACAATGTGTTTGTATTTTAAACTGTTATTATTGAAGAGTCCAAATTTATAAAGTAAAAACGGGCCAGTCACAGTGGCTCACGCCTGTAATCCCAACACTGGTAGGTCAAAGCAAGAAGACAGCTTGAGCCCAGGAGCTGGAGACTAGCTGGGACCTCATCCCTACAAAAAAAATTTGAAATTAGCCAGGCATGGTGGCACATGCCTGTAGTCTCAGCTGCTCTGGAGACTAAGACAGGAGGACTGCTTGAGCCTGGGAGATAAAGGCTGCAGTGAGCCACAACTGCACCACCGCACTCCAGACTGGATGACAGTGAGAAAATAATCAATCAAGTGAAAACATTACAGTAAGCTCATGTATTATTGAAGAAAAAAGTTTAAATAAATTTAGTGTAGCCTGAGTGTACTGTACAGTGTTTATGAAGTCTACAGCAGCATGTCCCAGATCTTCACATTCACCCACCACTCACTTGCTGACTCTCCCAGAGCAACTTCCAATCATGCAGGTTCCTTTCATGAGTGCCCTACACAAGTGTGCCACTTTTTATCTTTTATATCAAGATTTTCACTTACCTTTTCTGTTTAGATATATTAGATACACAAATACCACTGTGTTACAACTGCCTACAGTATTCAGTACAGTAATATGTTGTACAAGTTTGTAGCCTAGGAGCAACAGGCTACACCATATAGCCTACATGTGTAGTAGGCTGTACCTTCCAGGTTTGAAATGCAAAAGCACTCTATGATCACAAATGACAAAAGCACCTAAGATGGACTTCTCAGAACATACCGCCATCGTGAAGCGACACATGATTGTAGAACAGTTTACTGTCATAAAAGTTAGCTAAATATAGTATCTCTCAAACTACCTTATTGTATGTAATATTTTCAGACCTCAGAACCACGGGTAACTGAAACCACAGAAAGTGGAACTGTGGATACGTGTGCACTACTGTATGTAGGTATCTCTCAGCTCCCCTACAGTGTACTCTAAGGGTAGAGACTACCTAAACTTTGTATCCCTCGTTGTTGGCACATAACAGACACTCAACAAATGTATTTTGAACAATTCAATCTTTTTTTTTTGAGACAGGGTCTTGCTGGAGTGCAGTGGCCCGATCTTGGCTCACTGCAACCTCTGCCTCCCAGGTTCAAGCGATTCTCCTGCTTAGCTTACTGATTAGCTGGGATTACAGGCAGGCACCACCATACTCGGCCAATTTTTGTATTTTGATAGAGATGGGGTTTCACCATGTTGGCCAGGCTGGTCTGCAACTCCTGACCTCAAGCGATCTGCCCACCTTGGCCTCCCAAAGTGCTGGGATTACAGGCATGAGCCACCACACTCGCGCTAAACAATTCAACTTTTAAATTATTTAGTTTTGGCCAGAATTTTAAAATCTACAATTACTAAATATTGGGCTAGTAATTACTACACTTGAGTATAAATGCAGTTTAAACTGAATTGATATGCTACTGTGAGACAGAATCACTTTCTTCTCAACTTCAAGTAATAGAGAGGTTTGGAAGATGTTCAAATTCCCCTTCCAGCTGTTCTCAGCTTGGTGACATCCAAAGACCTCTAAGAACTAAAGAGAACCCATAAGGAGTAGCCAGTCCCTTGTGCCTCCTCCCCCCTTCATTCTCCATTCTTAAGTTCACCTGGTGAAGAAAGGCACTCTATTAGAGCTTCACTAATTTATTATTCTCAATCTATCCCCAAATTAGTTTCTGCTAAGACTGTTGAATGCCTCACTTTTTTCTACTTCAATAGATGCAAATCACTTTTTGAAATAATACTGTGCCTTACCAAAATACAAAAAAGCTTCATAAAAGTATGACATTTAAAATAGAAGACTCAGCAGGATACAGACAAAAAATAGTAGAAAATGGAAATAAAGACTATCCCGAATTTCAAAGTATACAAATCCAATGAGAACTGCAGTTTACACTGGAAAACAAAGATTTTTTTTTTAATGTTTACAACAGCTTTGAAGCCAAAGTAAGTCAAAACTGGCTACTATTTAGTATTTTACTCAACGACAATAAAACAAGAGTTCTAGTCTACTATAGCAACTAGTAGAAATAAGGTCGCCAGCTAGTAAAGATTAAATCAGTTGTAAATTATTTTGTGGTTGCCTCTAATTCTGGTAAGATTTTGGAAAAATATTTCAATGACAGTAACATATTTTTAAAAACAAGATAAGCTCTGAAAATAACCAACTATCCTTTTGTGACCTTTTTTTTTTTTTTGGTA
The DNA here is from genome assembly GCF_000001405.40 of Homo sapiens. Lineage (NCBI taxonomy): Eukaryota > Metazoa > Chordata > Mammalia > Primates > Hominidae > Homo > Homo sapiens. The sequence continues at coordinate 69,241,921 of NC_000012.12, read as the reverse complement.
CAGAAACTACCACAGCAAGAAGCGGTAATGTAAAAGGATATACAAATCAATCAATCATTGATTGGCCAATGATATGCAAAGTAGCAAAAACAATGCCTCTATTTATCCTCGCCATTAATCTATTCAAACATATAAAGATTTTACTGGTAAAATTATACAACTGTGTTAGACGTAATGCAGTAGGTACCTTATACAAATCATTGAAAACTTACATTTAAAAGGAGTTCCTCATTGGGTCCACAAAACTAATCTCTTTTTACCTCCTGCCCAGTCAGCACTTGCTACTGCACAGGGATAAGAATCCACCCAGCTATCCGGATAAGGGAGATGTCCCTCTCAAATTAAGTATGCAAAAGCCTAAAAATATTTCATTAAGAGGTACTGAAAAAAGCTTAACTTCTAAAATTGAGACCCAATTCTTCTTTTATTGTGCATAGAAAGGTGAACCAATGTATTATCTTGTAAGTAAAGCTAATAAAGGCAGTCTTGAACACTCAATCGTTGTTCCTTGCAGTTACAGCCCTCTTTTAAACGCAGTTATATTCATTTGATAAATAAAAGGAAAAAAATTTCCTAGAGGTCTTATAAGCGTTAGAACCTGTGTTGCACTCGAGGAATGTATCTGATTTGTAATGGACACAACTCAAGTATTATTATTTAAAACATAAGCACAATTTTAAAAACACAAAGATTTAAAAACTTAACCTTTGATTACAATGTATTACATTTAAACAAATCCAGTCTTTAACTGAATAGCAAACATTTAAAGCCAACTGGTATTTTTCTGTTTTCTAATATTTAAACCAGAGGCACAAAGTCATTCCTGAAAAATAAAACAGTAAAGATCTCTTGAGTTTCCTTGTTTTTTAAAAAGCCTGAGCAACTAGTCACGAATATGATGGTTAATGGAGGTGGGAAAACCACATTAGCCAGTAATATTTCATTAAACTTCTCATAGGGACCTGGGAAATACAAAAAAATAAGGCTTTTAGGAACATTGCAGTTAAGCACAATTTAATTGTTTTAAATGTGTTACTACATAAAATGCAGTAGATACGAACAGCAGGTTCAAACCTTAAACGTCACTAGCAACAAACGACATCTTTTGCAAGGATGCCCATTAACAGACATCACAGCCCCGCGTTACCTCTAAGCAACGTCGTTCAGGAAAACCTTGCATTCTCACTTTCGCTCAACCTTTCAAAAGGTAACACGGGGCCCGGGGGTGGGGGTGGGGGGATTTAACACTTTGTTTTCGAAAATAGGGTCTTATCTATAACTCTTTATTTTTAAACCACATCATAAGGATTTGGGGTGAACGTTCTTTCATTTTAATCACTATGAGATCTGTGGGTGAGCTAACATCTTTTTGTTCCATCCAACCATCGCGCTTCCAATTCTTCCTTTTGGTCCCCGGCCACTCATCTTCACAGGTATTTTCATCACAAAGGCCAACAACGACTGGGCTTCAAAGCACTGCAAGCCCTGGATTAATGAGGCAGGACCAGCGCACCGACTTTTATCTGTGGCTCCAAAAGTCAAAGGACTTGTTGCAAATGAGCCCGCACCTCAGTCGCCTTCAGAAAGTGTGAGGGGAGGAGGAAGGCGCCACGCCGAAACCTGTCGCAAACCCGAGAAGGAGAGCCCCGGGGACTGGGCGCGCGGGATACAAAGGGCCGTGAACGCGGCCTTCCATGAGGCGACAGTGCGCGGGCAGGGAGACAAAATGGAGCGATGGGAGGAATCGGAGCCCGAGCGGCAGCGGCGGGGAAGGGGCGGCGGCGGCGGGCACGCGCCCCGCCAGGGCTTCCTCCTCCGACCAGCGACGGGGGAGGGGGCGCGGCGGCGGCCAGTTCTCTCCGCCGCTTACACGCGGCCCCACCGCCCGGGCCTAGCGCGGCGGGAAGCGCCAGCCGGGTGCCGCCAACAATAGGGAGCGAGGCAGCGCCGGCGAGGGAGGAGCCGGCGGCAGCTGCACAGCGGCCCGCGTCCGCGCTCCGGGCCCCGCGGCGACTCGCCGCGCCCGCGGCCCGTGAAACGACGCGGTAGAACGAGGGGCGGGGGGGCGCCACGCCAGGGGTCGGCGGCGCGGCCCAGAGGCGGCAAGGGCGCACACTCTGCAGTCGCTTCGGCTCGCGGCCGCAGCGGGCCCCGGGTCAGCTTCCCGGCCGCAGCGCCGCCCGCGTCGGCGGCGGGGACCTGGGCTCTCACGTACCTGGTTGAACTCTTCGCCGACATCCGCGTAAATGTCTATGTGGTCCACGCCGTCCGCCATCTTCCTTCAGCCTCGGCCGCCGCCGCCGCCGCCGCCTCCTGCAGGTCTGCCCGCCGCGGCAGCAGCAGCGGATCTAGCGGCGGTGGGGGGGCGCTTGCGTCACTTCCGAGGCCCGAGGGAGGGAGGCGCGGGCGACAGGGGCCGGCCGGGGGCGGGGACTCTGCAGCCCAGCCGCTCTGCTGGCTGAGGAAAGGCTGCGCCTCTGAGGGCAGAGGACGTTTCTTTTGTGTCTGGGTGAGGCCCGGGAGTGGGGGCCAATTTTTTTGTCCTACTCGCGCATCCAGCTTAGCAGTGGGTCCCACCTGTTTCCACACACCGTCTTTTCACGTGGCCTCTGGCATACTCAGACGTTTTGTTAATATTTTCATTTATCCGTTGTTCTTATCTTTCTCACATCCAGGACTTTTAAAGGTGGAAGTTATATGTCCGTGCTTAAATGCAAAGTGTAACCCCCGGGCATTCTGTGAACGGCTTAAGACCAAAAACAATGTCTTGTTTCTGCATCCTCAGAGACCAGCAGAGTTTTATTTGCATCGTAAACGCTAGATACCCGTCAGTGGTTATCTTTGCATGCTGTTTATGTTGCCATTTCCATCTCTAATCTTCGTGGGCTTCTTTCCCCCCCACCTTCCTCTCGCATTCATTGCCATTCATTTTTTCTTCCTTAGATCTACAGTAGGTTGTCTCTGGCGTAGTTCAGATGCTTCTAACATGAATGCAGTCATCTTAGAGCACACCCAAGAGAGTGGAGGTATCTTGAGGCCAGGGGGGCTTCTCTCTCAGAATCCTAGAATGTCCCAACGGGAAGGGAACTGGAAAGGTGTCCTTAGGTCTAAACATCTCATTTTACAGAAGAGAAGACTGAGGCCTAATAGAACCTAAGTGATTTAACCAGGTCACATGGTCAATAAAGGTAGGAACATTCAGCCACGATACTTTACTCAAAGATGTCTCTCCAGTTTGAAACTTTCCCCTCCATTCTTAATTTCTTTTTCACTCATTAAAAAATATACTGTAGTAGAGCGTGTTTCCTGAGAAACTGGCCAGAAATCATTCATAGAATAACCCAAACAACATCTGTAAGGTTGGGCATCTCTAATCCAAAAATTTGAAATGCTCCAAAATCTGAAACTTTTTGCGCACTGACATGATGCCACAAGTGGAAAATTCCACACCTGATCTTATTTGCCAGGTCGCAGTCAAAAATGCAATCAAAACTTTTTTTCATGCACAAAATAACTAAAAGTATTGTATGAAATAATCTTCAGGCTGTGTGTATAAGGTATATGTGAAACATAAATGAATTTCGTTTAGGCTTGGGTCCCATCTCCTGGATAATTTATGTATATGCAAATATTCCAAAATCCCCTCAAATCCAAGCATTTTTGCATAAAAAAGACTCAATCTGCACTTGGTATGGTGGAAAAAGCATGGTTGCAGTCCTGGAGGCCAGTCTGGTGATCTGGGTACCCATTTCTAATCAGACATTTTATCAGCTAGATGACCTCAGTCAAGTTTTCAACTCTCATATTCAATCTCAGAATCTTTAAAATCCAAGCAATAATATCTACCTCACCAAGGTTGAAGGTTGGTGATACTTTAAATGAGTTAATATGAGTTAATATGCAAAGTGTCCTGTCCTGTTCCAAGAATCAGTATTTAAATACTGATTCACTTTCTTTCTTGGGGCATTATAGAAGAAAAGAGACACTGACGTTTAAAGGTGAGAGTATTTTCTAGATTGGTGGTGTGGTAGAATAATGGCCCACCATAGATGTTCATATTCTGATCCCTGAAATCTGTGAATATGTTACCCTTGCAGATATGATTAAGTTAAGGATCTTGAGGTAGGGATAGGGATACCTTGATTGTCCGGTAGGCTCAAAGTAATTTGCAAGGGTCTTTAGAAGTGAAAGAGGGAAGCAATAGAATCAGAGAAGATGCAAGGATTTCTATTGCAGTTTATCTTCTTTCAATACAATTAAAAACCATTCCAGCCAGCATGGTGGCTCATGCCTGTAATCTCAGAACTTTGGGATGCCGAGGAGGGAAAATTGCTTGAGCCCAGGAGTTTGAGACCAGCCTGGGCAACATAGGGATACCTTGTCTCTACAAAAAAATTAAAAAATTAGCCAGGCATAATGGCGTGCACATGTAGTCCCAGCTACTCAAGAGGCTGAGGTGGGAGGATCACTTGAGACTGGGAGGTTGAGGCTGCAGTGAGCCATAATTGCACCACTGCACTCCAGCCTGGGTGACAGAGTGAGACCCTGACCCTCCAAAAAAAAAAAAAAAATTATTTCAAGGCTCTGACTTCTATCGTTGTCTGTAAAAAGTCAGCTGTCAATTGACTATTGCCTCTTTGAAGTTAATTGGTCCTTTTTTTTCTGGTTGCTAAGATTTTTCTTAGATTTTAGTTCTCTGTTTTCTTACCATGTGTGCTTGGAAGTGTATTTCTTGTTATTTGTGATGCTTGGGATTCACTGAACCTCTTGAATATATAGATTAATGTGTTTCATGAGTTCTGGAAAATTCTCAACCATTACCTCTTCAAATATTGTTTCTGCCTCCACTCTCTTCTCTCCTTCCCTGACTCCAATTAAATATATGTGGCCGGGCACAGTGGCTCATGCCTATAATCTCAGCACTTTGGGAGGCTGAGGCAGGTGGATTGCCTGAGGTCAGGAGTTCAAGACCAGCCTGACCAACCTGGTGAAACCCCATCTCTACTAAAAATACAAAATTAGCCGGGCATGGTGGCGCGTGCTTGTAATCCCAGCTACTTAGGAGGCTGAAGCAGGAGAATCGCTTGAACCTGAGAGGCAGAGGTTGCAATGAGCCAAGATCGCACCATTGCACTCCAGCCTGCGCAATAAGAGCAAAGCTCCGTCTCAAAAAAAAAAATATATATATATATGCTATATATATTTTAATATATAATATATATGCTATATATTTTTAAATATATAATATATATGCTATATATATGAAATATATATTATATATGCTATATATATTAATATATTATATATGCTATATCTATTTTAATATATAATATATATGCTATATCTATTTTAATATATAATATATATGCTATATATTTTAATATATAATATATATGCTATATATATTTTAATATATATATGCTATATATATTTTAATATATATGCTATATATATTTTAATATATAATATATATGCTATATATATTTTAATATATAATATATATGCTATATATATTTTAATATATAATATATATGCTATATATATTTTAATATATAATATATATGCTATATATATTTTAATATATAATATATATGCTACATATATTTTAATATATAATATATATGCTACATATATTTTAATATATAATATATATGCTACATATATTTTAATATATAATATATATGCTATATATATTTTAATATATAATATATATGCTATATATATTTTAATATATAATATATATGCTATATATATTTTAGTATCAAATGTACCTATACATATGTATGTGTGTGTATTTTAGATCTTTTTATTCTATCCACTATTTCTCTTACCCTCTTTTTAAAAGTTTTCCATCCTTTCCTTTCTCCATGCTTCATTGTAGGTAGCTTTTTTTCTGATATATTTTCTAGTTTACTAATTCTCCCTCCTATGGTGTTAATCTCATCTACTGAGACATTAATTTTGTGTTTTTTGTAATTTTAGATTCTAGAATTTCTACTTGATTCTTTTAAAAATCTCTTAGGTTCGTTTTTATGGCATCTAATTATTTCCCAAAATTGTCAGTTTTGGCTTTTATCTCTTTGAATATAGTAGGCATCATTGGTTTACAATCTGGGGTCTTTGATAATTCCCATATCTGGAATTCCATTGGGATTGTTATGTGTTATATATTCTGGCTGTGGCCCACTTCCAGCAATTAAAATAATGTAAACTCAAATATTTAAGATGAGCAGGAAAGAGGTTGGAAAGCAGTAATGTTCTAAGGTTCTCTGTATGTCTGCTTTTTCTCTGTACAGAAGAGCTTTCTCTCCTTTTCCATGTGCATGGCAATGCAACAATGCAACCTCAATGCAAGTTCCAGGGTTCAAACAACCACCATTTAAGCAAATATTCAGCAGTCTTAGTTTCAATTACAAAATCTAAGGAATGCCAAAGTAAGGTTTTCTGTGCTGGAAGAAAAAATCTAAGGAAAAAGGAACTGTTTAACCCAATTTTTATGAGATTCTACTCCCATGCCAATCAAGGTTTTTAAAGGGAATGGAGTCCAGAGTAAAAACATGGCTGACAAATCCTACCCTGTAAGTCAGGAAATGGTGGAGAATTCTCAGTGAAAGATGGTAGCTTTGAGCTAGACAGACATCTCAAAGAATGTCTGACATATTCTACTTATTAGACGACCATATATAAAGTCATCATGGTTAGGGAAGACAAATGCAAATCCATAAATATTTTACACTTGCTATCATTCCAGTTTACGCCAATAAGTCAATGCCATAATATCCACAGGGACATGATTTGCATTCCAATATGCTACAGGCCATAGTTTAGCCCAGTGGTCCCAAACTTTAAAAAATACTCACTTCTAGTCAGGCACAGTGGTTTGCACCTGTTGTCTCAGCTGCTCTGGAGGCTGAGACAGGAGGATCTCTTGAACCCAGGAGTTTGAGGCTGTAGTGAGCTATGATTACACAATTGCACTCCAGCCTGGGTGACAAAGTGAGACCTCTTCTCTAAAAACAGAAAAGAAAATTAAAAATAAAATTTAATTGGCCAGGTGCAGTGGCTCACGCCTGTAATCCCAGCACTTTGGGAGGCTGAGGCAGGCGGATCACGAGGTCAGGAGTTCGAGACAAGCCCAACCAACATGGTAAAACCCCATCTCTACTAAAAGTACAAAAATTAGCCAGGCATGGTGGCATGCGTCTATAATCCCAGCTGCTCCGGAGGCTGAGGCAGGAGAATCACTTGAACCTGGGAGGCAGAGGTTACAGTGAGCTGAGATCGTGCCACAGCACTCCAGCTTGGGTGACAGAGCAAGACTCCATCTCAAAAAAAAAAAAAGAAAAAATTTAATTAAAATACCTGTATCAGTATAACATTTGAAAACATGCAGCCATAATACATGTAAATTTAAACATTATTTTATTAAAACTTATGTTGACACTATGAACACAAACATACAATTTTAAACCATGAAATGAGTTTTTTAATATCTTGCCATGCATAAAGGCCTTATATTATTATTAGTGGATTTAATCCATATTTCAAAGTCTTCATTTTGATTTTTTAACATTTTAACATTTTTAATTTTTGTGTGTACATAGTAGGTGTATATATTTATGGGGTACATGAGATGTTTTGATGTAGACATGCAATATGTGAAATAATCACATCATGGAGAGAATGGATATCCATTCCTTCAAGCGTTCATGCTGTGTGTTAAAAAAATCTGATTACATTCTTTTAGCTATTTATAAATATACAATTATTATTGACTATATAGTCACCCTAGTCAAATAGTAGGTCTTATTCATTCTTTCTATGTTTTTGTACCCATTAACTTATCCACTTTTGACCCCCAAACTCTCATTACCCTTCCCAGCCTCTGGTTACCATCCTTCTATTCTGTATGTCCATGAGTTCAATTGTTTTGATTTTTAGATCCCATAAATAAATGAGCACATGCAATGTTTGTCTTTCATTCTGTACCTGGGTTATTTCACCTAACATAATGATCTCCAGTTCCATGCATATTGTTGCAAATGACAGGATCTCATTTTTTTTTTTTGTAGCTGAATAGTACTTCATTGTATATATGTATTACATTTTCTTCATCCATTCATCTATTGATGGACACTTAGGTTGCTTCTAAATTTTAGCTATTGTAAATAGTGCTGTAACAAAAATAGGAGTGCAGATATCTCTTTGATAAACTAATTTCCTTTCTTTTGGGTATATACCCAGCAATGGGATTGTTGGATCATATGATAGCTCAATTTTTAGTTTTCAGAGGAACCTCCAAACTGTTGACCATAGTGGTTTTACTAATTTATATTCCTACCAACAGTGTACAAGTGTCCCCTTTCTCTACATCCTTGCCAACATGTTATCTCCCGTCTGAGATAAAAGCCATTTTAACAGGGGTGAGATGATGTCTCATTGTAGTTTTGATTTGCATTTTTCTGATGATCAGTGATGTTGAGCAATTTTTCATATACCTGTTTGTCATTTGTATGTCTTGAGAAATGTCTAGTCAGACTTTTTGCCCATTTTTAAATCAGATTATTAGATTTTTTCTTTGGTTATTTGAGCTCCTTATATATTCTGTTTATTAATCCTTGGATAATAAAGATGGGTAGTTTGCAAATATTTTCTCCCATTCTGTGTGTTGTTATATAAGTCCATTCTCATACTGCTATAAAGAACTACCTGAGACTGGGTAATTTGTGAAAAAAAAGAGGTTTAATTGACTCACAGTTCCACAGGCTGTACAGGAGGCATTGCTGGGGAGGCCTCAGGAAACTTACAGTCATGGCAGAAAGGCGAAGGGAAAGCAAGCAGGTCTTCACATGGTGGCAGGAGAGAGCAAGTGAGGGGGAAGTGCCACATTTTTAAACAACCAGATCTTATGAGAACTCACTCACTATCATGAGAACATCAAGGGGGAAATCTGCCCCAGCAATGATTCAGTCACCTCCCATTAGGTCCTTCCCCCAACATTGGGGTTTACAATTCAGCATGAGATTTGGGTAAGGACACAGTCACAAACCATATTATTCCACCCCTGGCCCCTCCCAAATCTCATGTCTTTCTCATATTTCACAACCAATCATGCCTTCCCAATAGTACCCCAGAGTCTTAACTCATTCAAGCATTAACTCAAAATTCAAGTCCAAAGTCTTGTCTGACACAAGGCAACTCCCTTCCACCTATGAGCCTGTAAAATAAAAATAAGTTAATTACTTCCAAGATACAAAGGTGGTACAGGCATTGGGTAAATGCTCCAATTCCAAGAAGGAGAGATTGGCCAAAACAAAGGGGCCCCATGCAAGTCCAAAACCCAGCAGGGCAGTCATTAAATATTAAAGCTCAAAAATAATCTTGTTTGATTTCATGTTTCACATCCAGGTCACACTGATGCAAGGGGTGCCCAAGGCCTTGGGCAGCTCTGCCCCTGTGGCTGCTTTCATGGGCTGGTGTTGAGTGTCTACAGCTTTTCCAGGTGTATGGTGCAAGCTGTTGGTGGATCTACCTTTCTGGGGACTGGAGGACAGTAGCCCTCTTCTCACAGCTCCACTAGGCAGTGCCCAGTGGGGACTCTGTTTAGGGGCTCCAACCCCACATTTCTCCTCTGCACTGCCCTTGTAGAGGTTCTCCATGAGGGCTCTGCCCCTCCAGCAGACTTCTATCTGGACATCCAGGCATTTCCGTACATCCTCTGAAATCTAGGCAGAGGCTCCCAAACCTCAGCTCTTGGCATCTGCATACCCACAAGCCCAACACCACATGGAAGCTGCCAAGGCTTGGGGCTTGCACCATGTGAAGCAATGGCCTGAGCTGTATCTTGACCCCTTTTAGCCATGGCTGGAGATAGAGCAGCTGGGACACAGGATGCCATGTCCTGAGGCTGCACAGAGCCGTGGGGCCCTGGGCCTGGCCTGCAAAACCATTTTTCCCTCCTAGGCCTTCAGACCTGTGAAGGGAGGGACTGCTGTGAAGGTCTCTGAAATGCCCTGGAAACATGTTCCCCATTGTCTTGACTATTAAAATTTGGCTTCTCTTTACTTATACAGATTTCTGCAGCCTTGAATTCCTCTCCAGAAAATGTTGTTGTTGTTGTTGTTTTTCTTAGCACATGGTCAGGCTGCAAGTTTTTCAAACTTTTATGCTCTACTTCCCTTTTAAATATAAGTTCTAATTTCAGACCATTTCTTTGTGAACACATATGAGCATATGCTGTTAGAAGCAGCCAGGTGGAAACTTGAATGCTTTGTTGCTTAGAAGTTTCTTCCACCACATACCCTAAATTATCTCTCTCAAGCTCAAAGTTCAACAGATCCCTAGGGCAAGGGCACAATGCCATCCATCTCTTTGCTAAAGCACAGCAAAAGCAACTTTTACTCCAGTTCCTAATAAGTTATTCATGTCCATCTGAGACATCCTCAGACTGAACTTCACTGTCCATATCACTATCAGTATTTTGGTCGCAGCCATTCAGCAAGTCTCTAGGAAGTTCAAAACTTTCCCTCATCTTCCTGTCTTCTGAGCCCTACAAACTATTCCAACCTCTGCCCATTACCCAGTTCCAACGTTGCTCCCACATTTTCAGGTATCTTTATAGCAATGCCCCACTTATCTGGTACAAATTTTCCATATTAGTCTGTTCTCACACTGTTAAAAAGAACTACCTGGTACTGGGTAATTTATGAAGAAAAGAGGTTTAATTGACTCACAGTTCTTCAGGCTTTGCAGGAGGCATGGCTTGGAAAGCCTCAGGAAACTTACTATCACGGCAGAAAGGCAAAGGGGAAGCAAACGTGTCTTCACATGGTGGCAAGAGACAAAGAGAGTAAAGTGGGAAGTGCTACACACTTTTAAACAACCAGCTCTTGTGAGAACTCACAACTACATGAACAGCAAGGGGAAATCTGCCCCCATGATCCAATCACCTCTGATATGGTTTGGCTCTGTGTCCCCACCAAATCTCATTCAAATTGTAATCCCCACGTGTCAGGGGAGGGGCCTGGTGGAAGGTGATTGAATCATGGGTGGCATAATTCCTGAAACAGGAGGCATGTCTGGGAAGGCCTTAGGAAACTTATCATTCATGGTGGAAAGATGAAGGGAAGCAAGAGACATATTACATGGCAGCAGGAGAGAGAAAGAGTGTAAAGGGGGAAGTACCACACACTTTCAACCACATCTCATGAGAATTCACTCGCTTGGTAGTATGGACATTTTAACAATATTGATTCTGCCAATCCATGAACATCAAATATTTTTCCATATTTTTGGTGTCTTCTTTAATTTTTTTATCAGTGTTTTATAGTTTTTATAGTTTTATTTAATTAAATACCCAGGAATTAACTTAACCAAAGAAATGAAAGATCTATAGAGATGTTTCTATATTTTATGTGTGGCTATTATAAATGGAGTTACTTTTTTATTTCTTTTTCAGATTGTTCACTGTTGGCATAAAAAATGCTACTGATTTTTGCATGTTGATTTTGTATCCTGCAAATTACTGAATTTGTTTATCAATTCTAATACTTTTTTGGTGGAATCTTTAGATTTTTCCAAATATAAGATCACACCATCTGCAAACAAGGATAGTTTGACTTCTTCCTTGCCAATTTGGATGCCCTTTATTTCTTTTGACAGATTGCTCTAGCCAGGACTTCCAGTACTATGTTGAATAACAGTGGCAAAAGTGGGCATCCTTGTTGTGTCCCATATCTTAGAAAAAAGGCTTTCAGATTTTCTCCATTCTATATAATAGTAGCTGTGAGCCTGTTATATATGGCCTTTATTATGTTGAGGTATGTTTCCTCTACACACAGTTTTTTTAGGGTTTTTATCGTAAAGGGATGTTTAATTTTAACAAATGCTTTTCCTGCAATTATTGAAATGATTATGTTTTTTGTCCTTCATTCTGCTGATATATCACATTGATTGATTTGTGTATGTTGAACCATCTTTGCCTCACAGGGATAAATCCCACTTGGTCATGATGAATGATCTTTTTAATGTATTATTGAATTTGGTTTGCTACTATTCTACTGAGGATTTTTGAATCAATATTCATCAAAGACTGGGCAAAGTGGCTGAAGCCAGTAATCCCAGCACTTTGGGAGGCTGAGGTGGACAGATCACTTGAGGTCAGGAGTCTGAGACCAGCCTGGCCAACATGATGAAACCCCTTATCTACTAAAAATGCAAAAATTAGCTGGGCTTTGTGGTGGATGCCTGTAATCCCAGCTACTTGGGAGGCTGAGGAAGGAGAATCGCTTGAACTCAGGAGGTGGAGTTTGCAGTAAGCTGAGATTGCACCACTGCACTCCAGCCTGGGCAACAGAGCGAGACTCTGTCTCAAAACAAAACAAAACAAAATATATATGTGTGTATATGTGTATATATATATTTTATATATTATATGTATTTTATATGTACATATATTTTATATATGTATACATTATATATGTATATAATATACACATATATTATATGTGTATATAATATACACATATATTATATGTGTATATAATATACACATATATTATATGTGTATATGTGTATATAATATACACATATATTATATGTGTATATGTGTATATAATATACACATATATTATATGTGTATATAATATACACATATATTATATGTGTATATAATATACACATATAATATATGTGTATATAATATACACATATATATGTATATATTATATACATATATGTATATATTATGTATATGTACATATATGTATATATGTACATATTATATAATATATGTATATATTATGTACATATTATATAATATATACATATATTATATAATATATGTATATATTATGTACATATTATATAATATATACATATATTATATAATATATGTATATATTATGTACATATTATATAATATATACATATTATATAATATATGTATATATTATGTACATATTATATAATATATACATATTATATAATATATGTATATATTATGTACATATTATATAATATATACATATTATATAATATATGTATATATTATGTACATATTATATAATATATACATATTATATAATATATGTATATATTATGTACATATTATATAATATATACATATTATATAATATATGTATATATTATGTACATATTATATAATATATGTATATATTATATACATATATGTATATATGTACATATTATATAATATATGTATATATTATATACGTATATTATAATATTATATAATATACGTATATAATATGTACATATATGTATATATGTACATATTATATAATATATACGTATATATTATATACATATATGCATATATGGACATATTATATACGTATATATTATATAATATATGTATATATGTACATATTATATACGTATATATTATATAATATATGTATATATGTACATATTATATAATATATGTATATATTATATATGTATATATGTACATATTATATTATATATGTATATATTATATACATATATGTATATATGTACATATTATATGTGTATATATTATATACATATATGTATATATGTACATATTATATAATATATGTATATATGTACATATTATATAATATATGTATATATTTATAAAATATATATGTGTATATATATTATATATAAATATATACATATATAAATATATATACCCATCAGAGACATTGGCCTATAGTTTTCTTTTTCTTTTTTTTTTTTTTGATGTTTACCTGGTTTTGGTATCAAGGTAATATTGGCCTGATAGAATGAGTTTGGAAGCATTTCCTCTGCCTTTATTTTTTGGAATAATTTGAATAAGATTGTTATTAGTTCTTCTTCAAATGTTTGGTGGAATTCAGCAATGAAGCCTTCAGGTCTTGGGCTTTTCATTACTGGGAGCTTTTTATTGTAGCTTCAATCTTGTTATTTGTTATTGGTATGTTCTGGTTTTACATTTCTTCCTGGTTCAATCTTGCTAGGTTGTATGTATCTAGGCATTTGTCTATTTCTTCTAGATTTTCAAATTTATTGGCATAGAGTTGCTCATAGTAGCCACTGATAATCCTTTGAACTTCTGCAGTATCAGCTCTAATATCTCCTTTTTCATTTCAGATTTTATTTATTTGTATCTTCTTTCTTTCTTAGTCTAGCTAAAGGTTTGTCAATTTTGTTTAACTTTTCGAAATGCCAGCTTTTTGTTTCATTAATCTTTTGTATTGTTTTCATTTCAATTTTATTTATTTATGTTCTGATCTTTCTTTTTTTCCTACTAATTTTGGGTTTAGCTTGCTCTTGCTTTTCTAGTTCTTCAAGATGCATTGTTAGATTGTTTATTTGAAGGTTTTCCTCTTTCTTGATGTAGGTGCTTATAGCTGTAAACTTCCTTCTTAGTTTGACCTTTTGTATTGTTTCCATTTCAATTTTATTTGTTTTTGTTCTGATCTTTATTTCTTTTTTTTCCTACTAATTTTGGGTTTAGCTTGCTCTTGCTTTTCTAACTCTTCAAGATGCATTGTTAGATTGTTTATTTGAAGGTTTTCCTCTTTCTTGATGTAGGCACTTATAGCTGTAAACTTCCTTCTTAGTACTGTTTTGCTGTACACCATATATTTTGGTATGTTGTTTTTGTTGAAATTTTTTTCAAGAAATTTTTCAATTTCCCCTTTAATTTCTTCATTGACCCACTGGTTATTCAGGAGGATATAGGTTAATTTTTATGTATTTGAATAGTTTCTAAAATTCCTCTTATTAATTTCCAGTTTTATTCCATTATGGTCAGAGAAGGTGCTGGATATTATTTGAATTTTTGTAATGTTTTAATACTTGTTTGTGACCTAACATATTGTCTATCCTTGAGAATGATCCATATGCTGAGGAAAGGAATATTTATTCTACAGCTATTGGGTGAAATGTTCTGGAAGTATCTATTAGATCCATTTGGTCTCTAGTGCAGATTAAGTCCAATGTTTCTTTGGTGATTTTCTGTCTAGAATATCTGTCCAATGCTGAAAGTGGGGTGTTGAAGTCTCCAACTGTTATTGTATTGGGGCCTATCTCTCTCTTTAGCTCTAATAATATTTGCTTTACGTATCTTGGTGCTCCAGTGTTGGATGCATATCCATTTAAAATGAGTATATCCTCTTGCTGAACTTACCCTTTTATATACCCCATTATATAGTGATATGGTTTGGACTTGTGTCCCCACCCAAATCTCATGTCAATTTATAATCCCCAATGTTGGAGGTAGGGCCTGGTGTGAGGTGACTGGACCATGGGGGTGGATTTCCCCCTTGCTGTTATCATAATAAGTGAGTTCTCATGAGATCTGGTTGTTTAAAAGTATGTGGTACCTCCTCCCTTGCTCTCTTCCTCCTGCTCTGGCCATATCAGACATGCCTGCTTCCCCTTTGCCTTCTGCCATGATTGTAAGTTTCCTGAGGCCTCCCCAGAAGCAGAAGCCTGTACAGCCTGCAGAACCATAAGCCAATTAAACCTCTTTTCTTATAAATTATCCATTTTCAGGCATTTCTTTATAGCAGTGCGAGAACAGACTAATACATATAGTGACCTTGTCTCTTATAGTTTTTGTCTTAAAATCTATTTTGTCTGATATTAGTATAGCTACTCCTGCTCTTTTTTGGTTTCCATTTGCATGGAATATCTTTTTCCATCTCTTTATTTTCAGTCTATGTGTATCTTTACAGATGAAGTGTGTCTCTTTTAGGCAACAGATCAATGGGTCTTGTTTTTTATACATTCAGCCACTCTATCAAATAGTCAAAATTTTGATGTTTTGGGACCAAATCTTGTTAAATCTGATTACATTATCACTTTGATCTCATTATGCAGATGATAAAAATTCATACCAGCAATAGCACAAGCGTTGGCCATGCCATTTTTTTGTCTTTCACCTGTGCTTTCATTATTGGTATTAGCTATGAACCATGGTTTTTTAGGAATCTGTATAAGATACTTGGGCATGGGCACTTTGTGACGGTTAATTTAGGTAATCTAGAAAATATGGTCTGTAAGTCTAAATATGTGGGCTCTCATAAACTGCCATGTATCATACTACACTGCAAGTGAGATGTATTATGTGCCTGGTTGAGGGAATCACCTTAGAATCCTTTGCTTTGTGGAACTTCTCTTCCCTTGGAATTGCACAAATACCAGAGGAGGGATTACTGGGCAGCTAAAGTAGTTAATGATTCAAAACTCCTCACTTTCATGGGTACTTTCCACAGTTTATTTAAGACCACTATTTCCTTTCACTCTACTTTCCTCTCTGTCATAAATCCCCTCATGTAGGGTAGAGTTGGAGGGGCAGCAGCATCTTTTTGGATCTAAGTGGAATTTGAATAAGGGATACATTTACTTTGGGTTTAATAGGAAATATCTGTGTAAGTTATTGTTAGCCATCTTGGTATAGTAATAATTCCCAGAAATATTTTTACTGCCACTGTGCTGACTCACACAGCTTCCGTAATATAAAGATACAAGGCCAGGGATCCTATTGTGATCTGAGTATGCCCAACCATGGTAGACTCTAGAAGTATGTGTGCAGTTGAGGAGAAACTGTTTAAAATGTCTAGAGCCAGATGCTAATAGGTGGAAAAGTAGTTTAATCATGAGACATGCAAAATTGTAAGTGGAAGATATGGTTTTCATTAATGCCCAGTCAAAATGGAAATCTCTAGTGGAGGGAGTACACTAAATAATGGGGCACATAAAATGATCACTTTTTTCTCTTTGTGATAAAATCACATGAAATTTCTGTTTTTTCTTGTTAAATAACTATTTATGTTCATACCTTATTTTGTATTCATTTAAAAAATTCTTTTTCTTTAAGAAAGCCCCCAAAGGATAGAAATATTAGGCCCCATAAAACCTAGATTAATATCTGCCTCATCCCTTAGTGATGTGAAACCATTTGACATCAGTGAGTGAGGACATCAGTGTCAATTCATATATTAAACTAAATTTTTTAATTTTTAAAATAAAAATATAAAAGTATATAATCGAGTAACTTTCAATATCCTGATGAATAGATTTGTATACCTCACTTCAGAGACAATTGATTAAACCAATTATTTTACTATGGCTAAATTTAAAAAACATTCTAAGCTCGGAGAAGTGTATCCCATGTTCTACTGACCCTCCTTGATTCAGTCAATCCCACATTTCAAGCACCACAATTCCTGTTACCAAATTCTGTTAGGTTGAACCATATGAGAGAGCAGTTTTTGTTTGTTTGTTTGTTTGTTTGTTTTGAGACAGAGTCTCACTCTGTCACCCAGGCTGGAGTGCAGTGGTGCTATCTCAGCTCACTGCAAGCTCCGCCTCCCGGGTTCACATCATTTTCCTGCCTCAGCCTCCCGAGTAGCTGGGACTACAGGCGCCCACCACCACACCTGGCTAATTTTGTTTTTGTATTTTTAGTAGAAATGGGGTTTCACCGTGTTAGCCAGGATGGTCTCAATCTCCTGACCTCGTGATCCGCCCGCCTTGGCTGCCCAAAGTGCTGGGATTACAGGCATGAGCCACTGCGCTCAGCCGAGACAGCTGTTTTTATAGCTAAAAATGGTCTAACATTGGCAAATCCAGAAGTTTACACTGATATATTATTTAACATGCATTCAGCTGCAAGTAAAAGAAACAAGACTCAAACCGATATAAACAGTAAGGCGATTTATTGTGAGACTATCAGTGAACTCACAAAATTGACTAAGCAGCTTGAGAACCAAGCTTAGAAAACAGGCAGAAACTAAATGAGGCATAATAGAGTCAAGATCATGCCACAGAGATAAACTGCTTAGAAAGCTACTACTTGTGTCATGTCACTGGACTCTTGATATCACTTTATTGTTCTCCACCACTTGTGGTCACTCACTGATAGACTGCTGCAACTTTGACAGCTGTAGCCACTTCATATAACTCTGAATTTGGTTCCTTCACACATTCTCTCCAGATTCTAAGTTGGAGGCTGCACATTAAGCCCATATCACATGCTCTTGTACATACTACCAGGGTGATCAGATACTGGTCAAAAGAAAAGTTTATCTCATAAAGAAAATATTGAATTAAAATACATCCAAATGTTACTATTAGTTTTGGGCAGTGTGATTATAGGTATTTTATTTTCTTATTATTTTTATTTTTAAAAAATTCTTTCTAGAGACAAGATCTGGCTCTGTTACCCAGGCTGGAGTGCAGTGGTATGATCATAACTCAGGGCAGCCTCAAACTCCTGGGCTCAAGGGATCCTCCCACCTCAGCCTCCCAAGTAGCTGGAACTACAGGCTCTCGCCACCACACTCAACTAATTTTTTGTAGAGACAGGGTCTCACTATATTGCCCAGGCTGGTCTCCAACTTCTGGCCTCAAGGCATCTCCTGACTCAGCTTCCCAAAGTGCTGGGATTACAGGCATGAGCCACCATATCTGGCCTTATTTTTGTATTTATTTACACATTTCTATGCTTTCAGTATTGTTACAATATATATTTATTGACTTTATAATTTAAACATTTTGTAACTTTATTTTTTAAAATAAAAAAGCATAGACTTGGTATATTATTATGCATTATAACCATACATTTGGACTCAGGATGGAGTTTGGCATTTAAAACTTGTAATCATAAGTCACACACCCGATTTAAAAAATAAAATCATCTGAAAGCTACTCTGTACTTTACCATAAGATACTTTTTCAGCACTTGTATGAACATGTGTTTGAAAAATAAACAGTTCTTAACATGACTTTAAAGTGTGTTGCTTATTACAAGTGGTCTTTTTTTGTGCTTTGTAAAATTATACTTGTCTTTGTGGTTTTAATGATTTGTTTCTGGAAATTACTGAAGGTGAAATTCAAATGTAAAGTCCAAGTGAAGGGCTGCATATCAGCAAACACATTAACATCAATAGGAGTGGGACTATTTTTCAACATCACCAATTGACTTTTATGAGCTAATGAGATTCAAAACTAGTAATCATACTGTTTATTTTTTCCCTCAACATATATAGTAACTAAATAAATGTGTAAGTGATGACAGAATGTATTCATTCCACTATTCAACAAATATTTTTAATGTGCTGCTCTGTGGGGGCCATTTTAGGAGGCAGTGCTGAGGGAAACAAATGTAAGTAAGATTCCATCATGATGTGGTGAGAAGTGGTGTGATAAGATTCCATGTGATAGATACTGGTTTCAGATCCAACTCTGTCACTTCCTGTGCATTTTGAGCAAGCGTTACTTAACCTCAATGGGACCTATTTTAAAAAAAAAATAGGGATAATAATACCTACCTCAGCTGGGTGCCGTGGCTCCCACCTGTAATGCCAGCACTTTGGGAGACTGAGGCAGGAGGATCGCTTGAGCCAAGGAATTGGAGACCAGTCTGGGCAACATGGCGAGACCCCATCTCTACGAAAAATTTAAAAATACAAATAAACACCCTAAATTGTGTATTAGGTTGGGGATGACAGGAACGGAAAGGAGGTAACAATTATTGAGTATATAGTAATATCTACTAGCCCCTGAGATAAGTGCCTCATAAGCACCTACTCAAATTACAAACTCTATGTACAGTGTGGGAGATGAGGGAGCTGGTGATCCTTGGAAGCACAGATGCTACTTTGAAATTCCCTGGGAAAATGTATCAGTCAGAGCCTGGCAGGAGCCAGATGGCACACAGAAGAGGGAAAATGGAGAATTTGGTGGAGTAACCATTTATGAGGATGGGGGCAGGATTAAGAGAAAATAATAAGGGAGGATAAGGCTCTGTAGGGTAAGCAACAGCTAGGAGCCTAAAGAGACAAAGGGAGGAATCGGTCACCAAAACCCAGAGGGAGAACTGTAATCATAGGAGAGGGATGCCTGACTCAACCTCAGCCTTCAGTAGAGCCCCACAGTTGGGAGAACCTGGGGGGTAAATACCTGATATTACTTCCTCTTGACCTTATATCTCCTGATAGGCATTCCCCTTGGTTGAACCCAAATCAGAAGGGACAAGGTAACCATTGATAGAGTTTATAAAGATCACCCCGTGGGGCAAAGAGTAGGCTGGAGAAGCTTGGGAAATGAATCTGAAGAGGCAGAGCAGAATATCTGGCACAGAAAATAGAAATGAGAAAATGTTACCTCCCATGTATGTTCACTTGTGGGATCAAAGAGCTTTAATCCACTTTTGGAGACTAGGAAGTTCAGAGAAGGTTCCAGACTGGGCTTCACCTCAGTACCTGCCCTGTTCTAAATTCTAACTCAGGAGTGATGAGATTAAAGTGTTTTATTCAACTTTGGTTAAACCTTCAACATGGCCTATTTAGTTATTAAAATGTTCAATAAATAGGGAGCACTTATGCAAGTTTAAACAAAAAGTCTCTTCCTCACTCAGAACCAAGACATGTTTCATCTCAAGAGCTTGCTTGGTAAGCCATTGTGAAGCATGGGTTCTAACTAACAGGCTATTGCATACCCTATTCCATTGCATTTTCATGGGCTCTATTAAAATGAAGCCAATCTTGCCGCTCCTTTTTTGTATACTGTCTCTCTTCTTCCAAAAAACTCTTAACCTCAATTACGTGGAGGCGGAAATGGAAATAGCTAGAGTCAAATTACAAAATATCTGTGCACTAGGCTCTAACAATGTTCAGATAGGCTTTGGAAGTGAGCACGCCTGAACATAGTTGATGATGATGTTGATAAATCTTTAAATCATAATTATTATATTGTAAACTCTTGAGGTCAGAGTACAAATCCTATCCATCTTTATACACCCATAGCATCTGGAAGAATGCCTTAGGTGTATAAAGTATTTCATAAATGTTGGCTGAATTGAATTGTTAAAAAGAATCAACAAACTTCAGAGCTAAAAAGGACATATAATCCCAGCTTCCTTTTTTTTTTCACAGAAGATGAAACTGAATCCTAAAAAGGTTGATGGTAAAGCACTGCTGGTTCTACCACACAAATCTTAGAATAAACGGGCAAAAGCAATTGGAACTTAGATATAGGTATTGACTAGGTAGTGTTGCAAAAAATGGAAAGGAAAAGTACAAATTATTGAAAAGCCTGGTCTCATTCAGTTTACGTTGAATTTTCCTTTCAATATTTCTCAAATACGTTCTATTCTGCTATTATTATTCTGATCCAGGCCCTCATTACCATATATCACCAGCAAAGATAATCTAATCCAATGTGTTAATTTTACAAGGAAGGGAGGTGACTTGCTGCAAGACCTTAGAAGGGATGCATTTTGTTCCGTCTTTAGGCACCATTTTCAAGTTTTGCTCAGTGGGAATGGAATTCTAATATACTGGCAAACACTTTCATTGCCTTGCCTTTCCTAGCCTCCTTTGCAGTTAGGGTAGCCATTTGATTCGGTTCTGACCAATGCAACCTAGTTGGAATTCTACTTGTAGCATATAAGGACATTTTTGCTTTCATAATCGATGGGATGGATATAACTTTTAGCCTTTCTTCTCCTTTTTTCTGCCTTGAATGTAAACTTGATACCTAAAGGAGTTACGGCCTCCATATTGTAACTGTGAGGCAATAAACATCTAGGTAAAAGCGACCCAGCTAAAGAAGGTGAAACAGAAATAGTCTGTGCTAAGGTTCTGTTCTGGAGTATGATAGAACTATCGAATAATGTCAGACATCGTTTAAAAATATAAAGTTAAATATGTTCTTTAAAACTTAAAGGTAACATGCAAAACCAGAGATATAATCTATAGCTTTTGACATCCGTGACAAAAAAAAAAAAAAAAAAGTGGGCTAATGGAAATCTTTTGTTAACCTAACAGGAACCAGGAAAGGAGGAAAAAAGAGAAATACAAAAATGTGAATAGAAAACACAAAATAAGATGGTAGTGTGTCAGAAAACATTGGCACATGGCAAACACATATCAAGCTAAACTCAACAATTAAAAGACAGAGATGATCAGAATCAATGTGATCTTGAAATTACATGACACATACCTAAACAAAGGCTCACAGAGGGGTTAAAAATAAAGGGTGTAAGAAGCAAATATCAGCCAAAATGAAGGTGATGTAGGCATAATAATATCATATAAATGAAAATTTAAGGAGTAATTATTAATAAAAATATATTTAAGATAACATTTCTATTAATATTTCTTTTCTTTTTTAAACAATATTTACATTGAAGGACTAAATATATCTCCTTTAAAGAAATATTGGACAGGCACAGTAGCTCACACCTGTAATCTCAGCATTTTGGGAGGCCTAGGTGGGAAGAGCATTCGAGTCCAAGAGTGTGAGATCAGCCTGGGCAGTATGCAAAACCCCATCTCTACAAAATATACAAAAATTAACCTGGCATGGTGGTGTCCACCTGTAGTCCCAGCTACTTGAGAGGCTGAGGTGGGAGGATCACTTGAGCCCAGGAGGTCAAGCCATGATTGTACCACTGCACTCCAGCCTAGGCAACAGAGCAAGACCCTTCCTCAAAAAGAAAGAAGGAAAGAAATGCTGGCATGAATAACATAAAAGTATAAGGTAAAAGAAAATAAATTACTGTATAGAGGCAACCACTGTTAACATGTTGGGTATTTTGTTTCAATATTTTCTTTTTTTTCCCCTGACTGGAAATAACTATATATTTTTAAAATTCTGTAGAAAACTAATCTATTAATATATGACAATCATAAAGAAGTTTAGACAATGCTGAAAGCAAAAAGAAATGAAAATTAGCCTTATGCCTGGAAATAATCCTATAAATCTTTCATGTATATTCTTTCAGATATTTTGATGCACATGTACACATATAATTTGTTTTTTAAAAATAGCATCATAGGTAGGGTGCCGTGGCTCCCTCCTGTAATCCCAACAGGTAGACTGGTTGAGCCCAGGAGTTTGAGACCAGCCTGGGCAACATGGCTAAACCCTGTCTCTACTAAAAATACAAAAAATTAGCCGGGTGTGGTGGTGTGCATCTGTAGTCCCAGCTACTCAGGAGGCTGAAGTGGGACTCACCTCAGCCTCATAAGTCAAGGCCACAGTAAGCCACTGCATTCCAGCCTGGGCGACAGGAGTGAGACCCTGTCTCAAAAAAAAAAAATAGCATCATAATATATGTCCCTTTTTCACTCAATGATGCAATGTAGATATCTTCCTATATCAACATTTATTATAGAAATATTAATACATATATTAATGTATATATATTATCCATTCTGTGGTTTACCCTAATATTTCTCAATGTATTTTTTTTTTTAGACACAAGGTCTTAGTTCATCCTGCAAACTGTAGTGCAGTGATGCCATCATAGCTCACTGCAGTCTCAAACTTTTGGCCTCAAGTGATACTCTTGCTGGGATTACAGGCACAAACCACCGCGTAGGCTAATTTTTAAATTTTCATTAGAAACAGGGTCTCTCTACATTGCTTAGACTAGTCTTGAGCTCCTAGCCTCAAGCAAACCTCCCACCTCAGCCTCCTGAGTAGTTGGAATTAACAGGCACAAGCTACAGTGTCTAACTCTCAATGCATAATTTTTCAAAGTTGAGATAATGCTGTGTATCATTTTCCATCTTGCTTTCTTCATTTATTATAAAACACTTTTTAAGTTAAGATTTTTTTTAAAGATAAATTTGAATGATCAAATACTTTATTTTATGTCTATGCAAATTTACTTAGCCATTGTTCTATTGTTGGATATTTAGGTTGTTCACAATTTTTCACTTACAGATGCTGTCTTTGCATTTTGCTGCTATAACAGAATTTCACAGCCTGGGTCCAAAGCATGATGCTGACATCTGGCAAGGGTCATCCCATGGTTGCACCCATTATTTTATCAGGAGCCCAGCCACAAAATAACCTACTCCCATGGACACTGGCATTAATTTCTTCATGGGGTCAGAGCCCTTCAAAGGCCCCACCTCCAATTACCTTTACATCGACAAATTTCAGCATGAGTTGTGTTGGGGACATTAAACCATAACAGATACTACAACAATAATTATTTTTGAGAATAACTTTTAATAAAACTTGGGTCCCCTAGATTTTCCTCAAAATTAAATACAAGAAAGCCACCAGCAAAGCATTAATTGAATGTCTAACTAGTAATTAATATTTATATACTTAGCATATTTGGCTTAAGTCAAATTTATGAATTAGTAATGTTGATTATATCCAGTAATGGGCTGATTATATCCTTTTTTTTTTTTTTTGAGACAGGGTCTTGCTCTGTTGCCTAAGCTGCAGTGTAGTGGCATGATCATGGCTCATTGCAGCTTCAATCTCCTGGGCTTAAGTGATCCTCCCACCGCAGAGTAGCTGGGACTACAGGTATGTGACACCATGTACAGCTAATTTCTTAATATATTTGTAGAGATGGAGTCTCATTACATTGCCCAAGTTGGTCTCGAACTCCTGGTCGCAAGCAATCCTCCTGCCTTAGCCTCCCAATGACTGCATTTTTTTTTTTTTTTTGAGACAGGATCTCACACTGTCACTCAGGCTTGAGTGCAGTGGTGTGATCATGGCTCAACCATAGCCTCAACTTCTTGGGCTCAAGTGATCCTTCTGCCTCAGCCTCTCAAGTAGCTGGAACTACGAGCTCAACATCACACGCAGCTAATTTTTGTACAGATGGGGTTTCCCCATGTTGCCCAGGCTGGTCTTGAATTCCTGAGCTCAAGCACTCCTCCCATCTCAGCCCCCCAAAATGCTGGGATTACAGGTGTGAGCCACTGTGCCCCTGCCTGACTATATTCTTTATGGTATAGTCAGTCTTAGGAAATCTATGCAGATAGGCATTTATTTATGTTTTATAAGGCTTGAGCAGCATATTACAATTTTTACTTGTCATAGACTTTTACAGTTATTTATGTGCTTTTTGGATATTTCATGGGTCAAATCTATGTTTTCCTGCTAAATCCTTGGTAACACAATACCCCAATCAGTGCATCATTTTCCCCTAAATTTCTGCTTCCTTTAGTCCTAAGGACCAGCCAGGCTGGTGGGAGTTCTGTAGCACCAAGGCTGGTGAGGGAGAAGGTCTGTTGCCTGAAGCTGTAAATGTCACAGAAATCAAGGGAACATGCCAAACACAGTTATATAGAGAGCTGAGCTGAGTGAGAAGAGAAATCTGGATCTTTGCAGCCTGAGGGCAAGTGGCAGCGGCAGATATTACGGTGGCTCACACCTATAATCCCAGTGCTTTGGGAGGCCGAGGTGGGAGGATGGATTAAGGCCAGGAGTTCCAGATCAGCCTGGGCAACATAACAAGACCCTGTCTCTAACAACAACAACAACAAAAAAAAAAAATAGCCAGGTGCAGTGGTGCACCTGTAGTCCCAGCTACTTAGGAGGCTGAGTTAGGAGTATCAACTGAGCCCAGGAGTTTGAGGCTGCAGTGAGCTGTGGTAGTGGCACTGCACTCCAGCCTGTGCAACAACATGACACTCATCTCTTAAAACAAATAAAGTTAGAAATTAGAGAGTTGTTTCAGGAATTTAAAAGCCAGGAATCAGGCTGGGCACAGTAGGTCATACCTGTAATCCCAGCACTCTGGGAGGCCAAGGCAGGAGGATTGCTTGAGCCCAGGAGTTTAAGACCAGCCCTAGCAACATAGCGAGACACTGTCTTTAAAAAAAAAAAATTTAGTTGGGCATGGTAGCACACAGCTGTAGTCTCAGCTACGCGGGAAGCTGAGGTGGGAGAATCACTTGAGCCTGGGATATCCAGGATTTGGTGAACTATGGTCGTACTACTGCACTCCAGCCTGGGTGACAGAGTGAGACCCTGTCTCAAAACACACACACACACACACGCGCGCGCGCACACACACACACACACACGCGCACGCGCCAGAGATCTAAAAGTGGAGAAAAATAAATAGATGCAGTGAGGAGTCCAGAGTCTCGGCCTGTCCAAATTGTACTTGGTGGGAGGTTGTTACTGCTGGATTTATTGTGCTGGTCTCTATATGGCACAAGAAGGTGTGCTCAAAGAGCCAGGGCGGAGGCCAGGCATGGTGGTTCATACCTATAATCCCAACACTTTGGGAGCCTGAGGAGGAAGATCATTTGAGCCCAGGAGTTCTAGACCAGCCTAAGCAACATAGTGAGATCCCATCTCTACAAATAATTAAAAAATTAGCCTGGCATGTTGGTGCACACGTGTGGTCCTTGCTACTCAGGAGGCTGAGGTGGGAGAATTGCTTGAACACAGGAGGTTGAGGCTACAGTAAGCTGTGATCGCACCACTACACTCAGCCTGGGAGACAGTGTGAGACCCAGCCCCCCCTCCCCGCCCACCAAAAAAAAAAAAAAAGAGCCAGGGCAGAGCTGTCACAAACATGCCTCTTCTCATCTCTCCAACTCACCTCTTACAGGTTTGGTAGTATCACAGCTCCGTGTGTTAACTAATAGAAGGCTCTTGTATCAGTTTCCTATAACTGCTGTAACAAATTACTACAAGCCAAATGGCTTTTTTTTTTTTTTTTTTAAGATGGGGTCTGTGTTGCTCAGGCTGGAGTGTAGTAGTGTAATCTTGGCTCACTGCAACCTCTGCCTCCCAGGCTCAAGTGATCCTCCTGCCTCAGCCTCCGTAGTAGCTGGGACCACAAGCGCGTGCTACTATGCCCAGCTAATTTTTTGTATTTTTGGTAGAGACGGGCCTCTACCATGTTGCTAAGGCTGATGTCCAACTCCTGAGCTCAAGCTATCCACCTGCCTTGGCCTCCCAAAGTACTGGGATTATAGGCATGAGCCACTGTGCCCAGCCACCTAATAGCTTAACACAACACAAACTTATTACAGTTCTACAGGTCAGAAGTCTGAAATGGAGCTCACTGGCCTACAATCAAGGCATTGGCAGGACTGCATGCCTTCAGAGAATCTGTTTCCATGTCTTTTCCATAAAAGATCAGTCTTCTGACTTAAGGAATGTGTAGTATACCTATGTACCCACAAAAATAAAAAATAATGTTAAGAAGTTTTTTAAATGTTTAGGGGAAACCTTTGGCTGTGTGATTAGTTGCATGAAGACCCCCAAACCTGTACCACAGAAGCCTCTTTTGAAAACTGGGCAGCCCCAAGTAGGGTATATTCTACAAAGCATACTTCAGATACAGCCATAGAGAGGAATGGAGAAAAGGAACTTCTCATAGGACAAACCTGGGGCCATGAAAAGGAAGGGACAAGGATTCATTAGAGAAGTCTAAGCTTCCCCCATTCACCACCGCCCAGGGAGCAGGAAGAACAAGTGCCAGGTGGGATTATCTAGGGACTTCCTCTGCTACCAGGGCAGGAATCTTTGCGATTACTGCTCTGTGGGGTTTGATGATTGCTATGAACCTGAGGCTGCTGTGTGTTTCCCATTCTTCTCTTTTTCAAAGAATTAAAAAAAAAATAATAGCTATCCCATTCCTACTCCATAATTTATAAAAGTAAGGTGTGAGGCAGGTAACTCATGTTTTAGTTTACAGGCTACCAAACCATGAGGAATTGCATACAGACATTAGAAAGAGGACAGAATTAACCAGAGACTGTGAACTTTGAGCTGGATACAGACACTGGCCGGTTTGGCAGTTTCTGACACAAGAGAGGAAATCAATGTGTGGAAAGAAGGTATACATACATATTTGGGTGACTAAAAGGGCAGAATAGGCCAGAGACTGTTAGTTGCCTCTCAATATCCCTTCTCTTCCTAGTATTAGAAGTCTTTAGCTTGGCATGTGTCTACCTAGAAAAACAATATATTTCCCAGCCTTCCTTGCAGCTAGATTATTCACATGATTAAGTTCTGGGCAATAGGATCTGAGTGGAAGTAATGTTTGCAACTTCTGGTTTGTGCTCTTAAAAAGAGTGGCAGGCTGGGCACGGTGGCTCACACCTGTAATCCCCAGCACTTTGGGAGGCCGAGGCAGGCAGATCATGATGTCAAGAGATTGAGACCACTCTGGCCAACATGGTGAAACCCCATCTCTACTAAAAATACAAAAATAAGCTGAGCATGGTGGCATGCACCTGTAGTCCCAACTACTCAGGAGGCTGAGGCAGGAGAATTGCTTGAACCCAGCAGGTAGAGGTTGTGGTGAGCTGAGATCGTGCCATTGCACTCCAGCCTGGGCAAAAAGAGTGAGACTCCATCTCAAAAAAAAAAAAAAAAAAAAAAAAAAAAAAAAAAAAAAGAGTGGCATACCCACTTTGTGTTTTCCTTCTTGCTGGTCAAAATGTGATATGATATTGATTGATGTGGGACCATGAAGAGCAAAGGAATAGTGGAGCAACAAGATAGAAGGAACTTGGGCCCCTGACCCTGGAGAGTCCTATGCTAGACTTTTACATGAGAGAAAAAGAGCTTTTCTCCTCTAAAACTATGTTGTATTGTTTTAGGTCTCTTTTCATGTGGCTGAAACTATATCTTTTTTTCTTTTTCTTCTTTTTTTTTTTTTGAGATAGAATTTTGCTTTTGTTGCCCAGGCTGGAGTATAGTGGCACAATTTTGGCTCACCGCAACCTCCACCTCTTGGATTCAGGCAATTCTCCTGCCTCAGACTCCAAAGTTGCTAGAATTACAGGCATCTGCCACCACGTCCAGCTAATTTGTGTTATTTTTAGTAGAGATGGGGTTTCACCATGTTGGCCAGGCTGGTCTCCAACTCCTGACGTCAGGTAATCCACCTGCCTTGGCCTCCCAAAATGCTGGGATTACAAGTGTGAGCCATCGTGACCGGCTGAATCTATACCTTAACTTTCACAAACATGTTGAGTTCAAAGTGCCTTTAAAAAGGTTTCTTATGAAAAGTGTCAAATATACACAAAAGTGCAAAGAACAGTATAATAACGTCATGTGTACTCACCTTCAGCTTCAACAATTCATCTAATGGTTTAGCCATCCTGACACTACTCGCTCTCCTTCCACTGAAATATTCTGAAGCAAATCCCAAATATCATATCATTTCTTCTGTAAAGATTTTACCATCTACCTCTAAAATATAAGGCTTCTTTTTTAAAAAGAATACTTTGGTGGCTGGATGTGGTGGCTGACGCCTGTAATCCCAACACTTGGGGAGGCCAAGGCAGGCAGACTGTTTGAGCCCAGGAGTTCAAGGCCAGCTTAGAAAACATGGTGAAATCTTGTCTCAACCAAAAAATTAAGCTGGCATGGTGGCACATGCCTGTAGTCCCAGCTACTCGGGAGGCTGAGGTGGGAGGATCACTTGAGCCCAGGAGGCTGAGGCTGCAGTGAGCCAAAATCGTGCCACTGCACTCCAGCAAGAGTGAGACTCTGTCTCAAAAAGAAAACAAACAAACAAAACCCCACAATAGTTTGAAATGCTTTTGAGAAAAACAAATGTGGATATCTAGTAGATGGTTGAGAACATCTTTTTTTACATTCAGGAGAAAGGTCTGGACTGAAAGGATTTCTTTAAAGAGGCATGTCACCTGGATGGTATTTAAGACCTTGGCAGTAGATGAGATAACCTAGTGAAAGTGGTCCCCTGAGTTAAAAACAGCAAAATTACATCAGTTTAGATGAGCAAGGGTTTCTCAGGTAGAGCAGGGAATTGTGGAAAACAGGGTAAATGTACACAGGTAGGAAGATTTGATAGACATTGTTTCCACTGCCCCAGATTCATTCCTTTTCTTGATTTTCTTTGGGGACAGCTACCCTCAGCTCCAACTTCATTTCCTAGATACCAGTTATTTGTTTAGGGATGGTCATGTTCAATACAGCTGATGAAGCTCAAGGAAATGTCTGCTTAGGCTTCTAGAAAAGCCTCTCAGTTCTTCAGAAACTACATGCATCTGTCTGGACGGTGTGCTGTGATGGAATGTGCTGGAACTTCTGCAGCCATTTTGTTATTAAGAAAATTCTAGAACCACCCAAGGGCTGTAGCGTGGAAACGGAGGATGAAGCCAACACTGAGTGGAGAGAGAGAGAAATCTGGCCCTTGGTGACACGGTTTGTACTGCAGGCTCAAGCCTCTTTTTAGAACCAGTTCTCAATCTTAGCCTGTGAGTTTCATGAGCCAAAAACTTGCCTTTGTTATTTAAATCATTTAAAGATGGATTTTCTGGCTGGGCATGGTAGCCCATGCTTGTAATCCCATTACTATGGGAGGCTGAGGTGGGCAGATCACTTGAGGTCAGGAATTCAAGACCAGCCTGGCCAACATGGTGAAACCACGTCTCTACTGAAAACACAAAAATTAGCCAGGCGTGGTGGCAGGTGCCTGTAATCCCAGCTACTCGAGAGGCTGAGGCATAAGAATTGCTTGAACCCAGGAGATAGAGGTTGCAGTGAGCCGAGATTATGCCACTGTACTCCAGCATGGGTGACAGAATGAGACCCTCTCTTAAAAAAAAAAAAAAAGAGATGGATTTTCTGTCACTTGCAATACAAAGTGTTCTGACTGACAGAGTAGGCCATGAAGTCAATATTTTTTTAAGACCTTGAAGTACCCCAGTGCCGGTCATCTCAGTTTTATCATGGGTGATTATGTTTGCATAAGAAAAATAACTAGATGTTTCCCACTTGAATATATTTTCTTAGGGCTCAGTAGCAATTAACACATATTGCTCTTTGCCCAGAGGATTTCCTGCAGGCTTTCTCTAATGACGTATGGCTTCTACTGGTAATGGCCAGTTGCTGAGGTAATAGGAGTGCTTAAAGATACAGGGGAAAAAGCAGATGTGGAACCAGTTTCTATGAAAAAGAATGTTCCGGTTAAAGAAATGAGTGAGTTGTATATAAAATCTGCTTTGGTTATGGGATAGACCTAATTATTCTCTGTAGAAGCACAGCATGGAGGTTTTGCTCTAAGATTTTCTTAATACCACCAACTGGGAGGACAAGAAGATACAAATTATATTTTTGAACCAAATCCTTCAAAACAGCAGTGAAAGTCATTTAGATAGTTCTTACAGGTGGATATTTATTTGACAAAATGTCAGGGGAAGGGAGGGTGGATGGTATTAATGAAACGCTAGAGCAGATGAAAGGTACTATATTGGAGAGGGATATCCTCAACCTTTGGGGATGTGTTGAGTCATGGGGCCATCATCACCTGAATGTGGTTTTATTCTGCAGCACTGACACTTCGAGCAATCACTGAGCACAGAATGCTCAGTGGCAGATGATGTGGGTGTGTCAAAGAACAGTTGCTAAAGTCACCTCTAAATGATTTTCCTGTATATGAGAAGGGGAAACGCTTTCTTTTTATGTTACATTTAGAAAAATGACAGCCATGAGGATTATTTGCCAAGAAGAATATTCACCTTTTTGACAAATTATTTGCCAGGGAAATTAGCTGAGGTCACATATCTCTTATTAGGTCAAGGGAAGATAGCATATTAATATTTCAAAAAAGCAATGTAGACCTATGTAAATTTAGCTCAGAGTACTATAGTTTATTAAAACCCCATAGACAAGGGCCTACAGAAGGGCAGGCTTATTTGCATTTTTGTTACAAATGCCTGGAACCCAGCATTTAGAGAAGCCAGAAGGGATTATTTATTTACAAAGCATTTATGAATAGTTACATTAGCTAATAAAGCATCTGCTTTGGAATCTAGATTCTAGAATAATGGAATTAATAACCACATTTTCCAGGAATGTTGCAGAGTGGGTAAGGAAAGGCTTTCTTAGAAAAAGGGCAAAATATCTTAAGTAACAGGACAAGCTTTAAAAGACAAGAGTACAGAGCTCAAAGGACAGTAGAAACTTCGACAGAAACACTGTCAGCAATAATGACGTGGGCCAGAACTCCAAGGCTTAAGGTTGACAAGGAAGATTAGATTTATTGTCACCATTGGCAAGAGGAGAAGCTGAGAGTTCCCAGGTTTGGAGGACACCTTGGTGCGTCCTAAGAGACAGACGTAAAAGTTTACCTAATTGATACAAATGAAGACTATAGAAGACCTGTGTAGGAATCAAAGAATCAGTATGGAAGTAGAATTAGCAGCCAGGTCACAAACCAGAGAGTTACAAGTGTTGGCCTCACAGAGGGTAAACAAATTGGTCAGCGTAGAAGTGGTGATCCAGGTCTAAGGGACAA
Source organism: Homo sapiens (assembly GCF_000001405.40). NCBI lineage: Eukaryota > Metazoa > Chordata > Mammalia > Primates > Hominidae > Homo > Homo sapiens. Next base: position 69,209,883 of record NC_000012.12, on the reverse strand, counting down.
CTTAAACAATTTCTCTAAAACTGGGAGGAATTTTTGAGATGGTAGCCTCTGGAAGTTTCTGGCCAGGAACCTAAAGATCATGTTCATCTAATATCTGCTCCCTACTTTCTTCCCCCGGCTTATTTATGAGAAAGATTAAGAGATCTGGTTTTATGATGTCTATGGGACCTCAAAGATGTCACCATTTGAAATCATTAGCTGCTGCTACTGAGCGCTAAATGTCTGGACTACCCTCAGACATTGTTTCCCTGAAAGCAAAAACTGTGTGTTTTAAAAAAAAATCTTTTCAGCTGTGACTCTCCCTAATATAATGCCTGATTGAAAGTAGATGCTTAATCCACAATTTTTTTTTTTTTTGATGGAGTTTTGCTCTTGTTGCTGCCCAGGCTGGAGTGCAGTGGCACAATCTTGACTCACTGCAAGCTCCGCCTCCCAGGTTCAAGTGATTCTCCTGCCTCAGCCTCCTGAGTAGCTGGGATTACAGGCCCCTGCCACCATACCCAGCTAATTTTTTGTATTTTTAGTAGAGATGGGGTTTCATCATGTTGGCCAGGCTGGTCTTGAACTCCTGACCTCAGGTGATCCACCTGCCATGGCCTCCCAAAGTGCTGGGATTACAGGCGTGAGCCATGGCACCCAGGCTTAGTCCACATTTAAAAGTAAATGAATAAATCATTAAACCAGACCTGTGGGAGGCCTATAATTTGCTGAGGTCTCACAAGGGTAATTTACTTATTCCTATCTTCATTCATCTCTCTCTTTATAATTATTATGGGCCAGGCATGATGGCTCATGCCTGTAACCCCAACACTTTGCGGGGCTGAGGTGGGGAGATCACATGTGCCCAGGAGTTCAAGACCAGCCTGGGCAACATGGGGGGACCCCATATCTACAGAAAATCAAAAGATTAGCTGGGCATGGTGGCACTTGCCTGTGATCCCAGCTACGTAGGAGGCTGAGGTGGGAGGATTGCTTGAGCCCAAGAGGTGGAGGCTGCAGTGAGCTGTGATCACACCACTGTAATCCAGCCTGGGTAATAACAGTGAGATTCTGTCTTAAAAAAAAAAATTAGTATTATGTTCTCTTCTACAAGGGATTTGAAAAAGCTTACAATACATTTGATCAAACATAAAATATAAATAATAAAGCCAGGATCATGAGAAACATACATTAGGAAAAAACAACAAGTGAATGGGATGAAATGAGATATACAAGCAATAGGGCTCCACATAATTTTCTAAGCTGAGCCACAGATTTGAATTTGAGTTTTCTGCTGAAAAAGCGAAAATAAAGGCTAATCGTGATTCTCTTGACTATAAAGGCAAAAGGCAAAACATTCTAGTTTCTCAAGTTTTTTTTTTTTTTTTTTTTTTTGAGTCAGAGTCTTGCTCTCGCCCAGGATAGAGTACAGTGGTGCGATCTCAGCTCATTGCAACCTCTCCCTCTTGGGTTCAAGCAATCCTCCTGCCTCAGCCTCCCAAGTAGCTGGGATTACAGGCACTCGCCACCACGCCTAATTTTCATATTTCAGTAGAGATGGGGTTTTGCCCCTGTTGGCCAGGTTGGTCTCGAACTCCTGACTTCAGGGGATCCACCTGCCTTGGCCTTCCGATGTGCTGGGATTACAGGGGTGAGCACCACTCCCCGCCTTAGTTTCTCAAGCTTTTATTGGAATTTAGCTCTAAAAGAAATTTCTAGTATGGAGTTTTATATCTGGGACATTGATGGATGTGGTAAACAGTGTCCTCAACGATATTTGTAAGAATATCCTGTAGCAAATGCAACGGAGCTTTCCTAAAGCTGTCTTGTAGCACGAAACCTGCAGCATAACCTACAGCCCGACTCACTGAGGGCAATTCTAACACAGACCAAGGAAGCATGGCTCGAGATGGAAACTTTCTAAAATTGTCATTAAATCAAAGAATACTTCTAGAAAATCCAGAGGAGTACAAGTCCTTCAAACACTTCTCCAGTGAGATCACCTCACTTAATGAGACCTTTGTATTAGTCCCTTCCCATGCTGCTATGAAGAAATACCCGAGACTGGGTAATTTATAAAGGAAAGAGGTTTAATTGACTCAGAGTTCAGCATGGCTGGGGAGACCCCAGGAAACTTACAATTATGGCAGAAGGGGGAGCAAACATGTCCTTCTTTACATGGCAGCAGCAAGAAGAATGAGTGTCCAGTGAAGGGGGAAGCCCCTTATAAAACCATCAGGTCTTGTGAGAACTCACTATCACAAGAACAGGATGTGGGAAATCACCCCTATGATTCAATTATCTCCACCTGGTCCCTCCCACAACCTGTGGGGATTATGGGAACTACAATTCAAGATGGGATTTGGGTGGGGTCACAGCTAAACCATATCAACCTTTGATTAGGGTTCGGAGCAGATTGTTGGAGTTTATACTCTATCAAGGCCTGAAGGGTGGTTGTTCTGTGTTGTTGCTTTAAGGTGGTAGTGTATATCTTAGTTAACAAATAGGATTTTTTACAAGTGATATGGATTGGTTGCGTCCCCACCCAAATCTCATCTCATAGCTCCCATAATTACCACGTGTTGTGTGGGGGGTACAGGGGTGAGAGGACCCAGTGGGAGATATTTGAAACATGGGGGCGGTTTCCCCCATACTGTTCTCGTGAGATCTGATGGTTTTATAAGGGGAAACCCCTTTTGCTTGGCGCTCATTCTCTATTTGCCTGCTGCCATGTAAGATGTGTATTTTTGCCTTCCTGCCATGATTGTGAGGCCTCCCCAGCCATGTGGAACTGTGGGCCCATTAAACCTCTCTTTGTAAATTACCCAATCTCGGGTATGTCTTTATTAGCAGTGGGAAGACAGACTAATACAACAAGGTTTTATGAAACATAAGTCATCTAACCTTCTTTACGATAAGTGGATGACTAGCGGTCTGTTCCCATTATCTATTGCTGCCTAGAAAACCACCCTAAAACCTAGTGGTTTAAACAACAGTGGTCATTATTATTATCTCTCATGGTTGTGGGGGTTGACAGGGCTCATCTAGGTAGTTCTTGCTCAGCTTTTCTCATGCAGTTACAGTCAGACAGAGGCTGGGGCTGGCATCATCTGAAGGCTTGCTTACTCACATGTCTGCTGCCAGGCTAGGAAGACTCAATCAGCTGGGGGCTGGAACAACTGGCTCCTTGGACAACTCCATTTCTATGGAGTGTTTGCACATGGTCTCTCCAGCAGTCTGACTTTAGGATAACTGGACTTCCTACAAGGTGGCTCAGGACTCTAAAGGCGCATGTCCGAGAGAGATAGAGAGGGAATCAGATAGAAGTTATATTCTCTTTTATGAGCCATCCTTGGAAGTCATGCATTTATACTACATTCTGTTCATTGAGGCATGCACAAATGTCTGCCCAGGTTCAAGCAAAGGGGATGTGATTCCAAGCGTTGATGGGGAAGTGGCAAGGTTAAGAAGAGCATGTAGGGCTAGAAATTCTGTTGCAGCCATTTTTGTAAAATACAATCTACCTCATTTCAAAGGTACACTGAAAGAGTTCCTGTAATCAAGGGATGATCATTCTAAAGGGCCTATTCTGGGCCCTCAATAAGTGAACATATTCAAGTACCCCTAGTTTTCCATTCTAGAGCGTGAATGAGGTGACTTAGCATGGAAGATTTTCAAAGAAATTTTTACCAATCACTCACGACAGATAGAAAAAGCCACAAAATGCTTCTAATTGTGAAAAGTTCAATTTTGAGCAACATTAAAACCATTCCTAGTTCATGCCTCCAGCAGAGGGAGATGAACCCAGGTCACCCAACAGTTTTCTACCATTCAGAGTGGTGAAGAAGAAAGTGTGGGGACATGGACAAAGCTTGAGGACATAGGCTAAGCAAAATAAACTAGGCACAAAAAGACAAATATTGTATGATTCCTCTCATGAAGTATCCAAAGTAGTCAAAATCAAGGCCAGGCACAGTGGTTCATGCCTATAATCCCAGCTACTTGGGAGGCTGAGGCAGGATAATCACTTGGACCCAGGAGTTGGAGGTTGCAGTGAGCCAAGACCACACCACCGCACTCCAGCCTGGGCAACAGAGCGAGACTCTGTCTCAAAACAAAACAAAAAACAAAATAAAGTAGTCAAAATAATAGAAACAGAAAGCAGAAAGGTGGTTACCAAGGGCTGGAGGTGGGGAGGGGGAATTTGTGTCTAATGGGTATCGAGTTTCCGTGTTGCAAGATGAAAACATTCCAGAGATCTGTTGCACAACAATGTGAATATACTTAACACTATTGAACTGTACACTTAAAAATGGTTAAGATGGTAAATTTAATGTTATGTGTTTTTACTATTAAAAAAATCAGAAAAAGTGTGGGAGTCAGACTCACAGTCCTGCTTCAGGGCCCTCAATCTAGCTACCTGGTTTACTAGAAGGCAGATTAGTAAGGATGCAGATATTGACTCTTGCCAAGATGTTAAAATGCAGCTTTTGTACAAGAACCAGGCCAGGCACAGTGGCTCATGCCTGTAATCCCAGCACTTTGGGAGGTGGAGGCAAGCGAATCACTTAAGGTCAGGAGTTCACCAGTCTGACTAACAAGGTGAAACCCCGTCTCTACTAAAAATACAAAAATTAGATGGGAACAGTGGTGGGCACCTGTAATCCCAGTGACTCCGGAGGCTGAGGCAGGAAAATTGCTCAGAATTGGTTAAACTCAGGACGTTTGCAGTGAGCCGAGATTGCACCACAGCACTCCAGCTTGGGTGACAAAGCAAGACTCTGTCTCAAAATAAAAAATGAAGAACCAACTGGAAGTTAATACTGCGCTCAGGCAGCTTACCCTAGAGTCATTCTTGTCCAGAGTTAAAGGCAGAAGAGAAGTAAGTTAAAAACAGGAAAAACCAAGTCTATAATTCTCTAAGTTTTTTTAAAGTTAGGCCCATTTAATTTCAAGAAAAAAGTGAGGCAACTAACAATTATTCCTGATAAATTTTTCCATTAGGGAATAATGAAGTATCAGGACTTGCGACTATTGAATCTTGTGTAAAATACTGACCCAGAAATCCTCAATCTGACATATTTTTAGGGATAAATAGGCATTAAGTTTAAATGAAGTGTTTAACAAACAGATGGGTCTGTATTTTGGAGGAAGTCATTTAGAAGAGGCTTTGAATAATTTTGATAGGAGAAAGTCTTCACCGGATGCTTTATTTAAATTAAGCCTGCTAACCAAATAAAATGCATGAGAAGATATTTCTGGGTTCCAACCAGTGAAGACCTTAGGAACCACATATTTCAATGTAGGCTTAAGATGACGATAGCAGGAAGGAAAGGAGGCCTCCCAGTTGTCAACCGAAATTCTGATTATTTGTGCTTACCATGGATAATTAAATTTCCAGATCTATCTTCACTATTGGCTCCAGCTGTTAAAAACTCAGGTCTCCCACAGTGCTCATGAAACTGAATTTTAAGTCATAGGTTTACATTTGAAGAGATCTGTCTGGTCCTTCTGCATTCCTTTTACATGTGTCCGTTCCGATTATTCCAATTCAAGTAGCAATCACAAGAGTCCCACCAGCCTCATGGGTAGATGTCCTGAGAATGTGCTCTGCAGATCCTTCTCCTTCATAGGGTCAGTGAGACAGGCACTGCAGGTAGATAGTATAGGAAGACTAAGATCCTGAGTTCTCAGGCCCCCCAGGAGTGGGTATCACAAATACTGTTCGTTGCTTACCTAATAAGTTTCTTGTGACTAGAACCCTCAGTAATTTTTTTTAATGTTTCTAGAGGGATAATACACATACACCCAAAGCACCAATCCTAATAACTTCATGAATTATTGCATGTGTATTCACTTATGTCATCACCACACAAATCAAGATATAGAAAATTCCCATCACCTAAAAAAGTTTCCTCTTGCTGCTTCTCAGTCTGTATCCTAACTCCATGGCTAAGTAATCATTATTCCAACTTCTATCATCGAGTAGTTTTACCTATTTTTGAACTATGTATGAGTGAAGTCATACAGTATGTACTCTTTTAAATTTGGCTTCTTTCACTCACTTAATATCTCTGAGAGTCATCCACATTGTTGCTTATTTCAGTAGTTTGTTCTATTGATTGCCATGTAGTATATCATTTTATGAATATACCATGATGAATGTATCTATTCCGCTGATGGGCATTGGGTTGTTTCCACTTTAGCTAATATGAATAAAACTGATGAACCTGTGTGGCCAACTCCCACGGTTGCTACTTCAGACCATCACAGCAGTTACTACTGTTACTCCTTGAGACTGTCATTACAGGGCTGAACAAAGGGACGAAAGTAGAAATGATAAACAAAAATAACTATTTTAAGGAAAGGCTAGCATGGAGAAGAGAGCTCCCTGCTTCTAGTGAGCAAAGGCAGCCCCTGAGCTTCTACAGCCCTTTTTATTTACTGGGTAACAAGAGCAAGGAGGAGGTAGTAACGATTGGTCAGCTGCTTAACTGATCACAGGTTCATATTGTTACTGACAGGCTTCAATTATGCCTAATCATAAGAAACATTTGTGCAGCCTCCAACATCTCCTTCTTTTTGTTTTTAAATTAATTGAGCAAGACAATTGCAGGCTGTGCAGCCTTTAATTGCCAGTTGGCGATCCAGCTTCTTTTTCCCTAGGCCTTATTCAAAATGGAGTTGCTCTGGTTTGAATGCTTCTTACATATTTCCCCCTTCCCTTTTACAAGAGGACCCTTAATCCTAAGGGTTGCAGAAGGATGAAGGTCCATCTTCTGCAACTTCATGCTGAATAGGAACGATGATATTCCTGCCTAACTATTAGTGTCTCTTGTATTCAGGGTAGAGAGGAGCTCAGTTAAAGCATTGGTCCGTTAAGCATTGATTGTACCTCTGAGTTCCAGCAAAAGGTGAAACCCTGGTGCTCCAGCAGTTTCTCAGCTTTCTGTGTGGTTTTCTTGATCTGTCCCCATGTTATGGGGGTTGATGTCAGTGTGACTCCAGTTGGTCCTCGTTCCGTCTTCGCATTCAGATTCAACTGGCTTGTGGCTCATACTGGGGGAACCAGGTCCATGGTTGGGATTCATGGGTCCCTCCAGTCTCCTGTTCCATAGTCATACACATTTTGAGGGTACCCACACGCTTTGTTCATCTCCTGCAAAAACACAAGCATACCCTCGACCCCACGTTAGTAAATCTAGCGAAACAGAAGCAAAAGTCTCGTGTGGCTGTAGCCAGCAGGCACGCCATTGCTGAAGGATTTGTTCTACAAGCTGCAACTCAGCCTCTGCCTCTTTGGTTAATTGCCACGGGGTAAAACTTTCCATTGATAACAAGAAACAGGCTCTTTCTGATTAACAGAAGACACAGAAAAAGCAAATCGAGGCTTATCCTTCTTGTAAACAATCCTCAAGATCTATTACCACGAAAGCCCAGTCTCTTGCTCCCATATCCATAAACCCACAAAAGTTTTCTTCAATCTACACTGCGCAAGTGGGTCTATGAGATGCTATGGGTTGTGATAAATAAATCTCCCACGTAGTTGTACTTCCAAATCCCTGATCTCATTTCTTCTTGGGTAGAGAAGGGTACAATTTATAGGGAGTAAGCAACAATGAGCAATGCACTCTCCCGGTTCAAAAACCCAAAGATCTTATGGCATTACTACTACCTGAATTTCTCCTTCACAATCAAAATCAACAACTCCTGGGTCTGTAAGTTAAGACAGCTTTTACCGAAATCAGTCCCATGTATCTTGTTGGCAAAGATCCCCAAATGCCAGTGTGAATCTTAGTGAGTTTGTTTCTTTCAATTAATGTAATTTTTTCTCTAGCTAGGAGAGCTAATCCTGTGTTTCCAGGTGTTCCTGGGGAGAGGGAATCAATGCGCCTTTGGAAACCTACCCCTGAGATGGAGTTGTGGCCTGAATGGGGAATGTCCTCTTAGTTTGAAGTGCCCGGGTTCAGGCCCCCTTCTTGCTTCCCGACAGGGGGGGTGCCGTTTGGATGAAATTTTGAGTGGCATTGGTTAGCCCAGTAGTTTCCTTTATTGCAAGGAGGGCAAAGTCCTGACACTTTTTCTGGTAAGAGGGGAACTGTATTACAAGATCTGTTTTTGCCAGAGGTCTGATGGCATTCTCTTTTGAAACCTCCAATTTTTCTACACTTATAACACTTTCCCACTTTAGGGCTTGACCCTTGGCTTCTTTTAGATCTGTCAGTTACCAAATTAGCCATTGCCTGAGTCAATACTGCAGAGCAATGAAGCTCAGTTCCCACATCCTGACAAGCTCCGAGAAAACTTCTCAAGTCCTCTGTACATCTCACAGGTGCCAGTGCATGTTTACAATCCATGAAAGCCGAAGCTAAAGTTAGCCCTTCTGTAGCCACAAAAGATGGTACAAGCCAATTTCCATTCTCCCTTTCCTGTTCACCACTTTCGATAGGTGCTGTAGTTGGGGCAAAAAATTCTATTAAACCCCGAAATAATAACACGAAGATGGTACATACCAAACTCCAAACAAAAAAGAAAAGAAATAACCAAATTCTTCCTCATGTTACCCTGATTCAAAAACTCCCTGTTCTTTGTACCTCTAGGGCACTGACCAGTACCTTTGTAGAGCACTGACCTTATGTTGCTGCTGGCAGACTTGTAACGGGGTGTCTAGTTCATCTGGTTGGTTTTAGTTTTTTCTGGGCTTTAGTTTTTTATGTTCCAGCAGACCTTCCTCATTCAAGTCCCTATAGGACCCTGTCTGTCCCTGCAAATCTCTGCTAGTCTTTGCTAGTCTCTACTTTTGTACCTCTTTAGGGCACTGACCTTATATTGCTAGTCTTTGCTAGTCTTTATCCCTATCTGTCTCTATGGCACCTGTTAGTTCCTACAAGTCCCTACCTATCCCCTAGCTGTCCCCTATCTATATCTTCCTCATCTCCTATCTCTTCCTCATCTCTTCCTCATCTCCTATCTCTTCCTCATCTCCTATCTCTTCCTCATCTCCTATCTCTTCCTCATCTCCTATCTCTTCCTCATCTCCTCCTCATCTCCTCCTCATCTCCTCCTCATCTCCTCCTCATCTCCTCCTCATCTCCTATCTCTTCCTCATCTCCTCCTCATTTCCTGTCTCTTCCTCATCTCCTGTCTCTTCCTCATCTCCTGTCTCTTCCTCATCTCCTGTCTCTTCCTCATCTCCTCCTCATCTCCTATCTCCTCCTCATCTCCTATCTCTTCCTCATCTCCTATCTCTTCCTCATCTCCTATCTCTTCCTCATCTCCTATCTCTTCCTCATCTCCTCCTCATCTCCTATCTCTTCCTCATCTCCTCCTCATCTCCTATCTCTTCCTCATTTCCTGTCTGTTTCTCATATCTTCCTCATCTCCTATCTCTTTCTCATCTCTTCCTCATCTCCTATCTCTTTCTCATCTCTTCCTCATCTCCTATCTCTTTCTCATCTCTTCCTCATTTCCTATCTTTCTCATCTCTTCCTCATCTCCTATCTCTTTCTCATCTCTTCCTCATCTCCTGTCTCTTTCTCATCTCTTCCTCATCTCCTATCTCTTTCTTACCTCTTATCTCTTATCTCTTTCTTATCTCTTATCTCTTTCTTATCTCTTATCTCTTTCTTATCTCTTATCTCTTATCTCTACTTGTCCTTGTAGGCCTCTTCAGGTCCCTTCAGGTCTCTTCAGGTCTCTGTCCCTGATAGTCCCTGTTAGTCCCTGTTCAGGCGCCACTTGTGGCTGACTGCTACTACTACTACTTGAGACTATCATTACAGCAGTTACTACTGTTACTGCTTGAGACTGTCATTACAGGACTGAATGAAGGGATGAACATAGAAATGATAACAAAAAACAAAAGTAACTATTTTAAGGAAAGGCTAGCATGGGGAAGAAGAGAGCTCCCTGCTTCTAGTGAGCAAAGGCAGTCCCTGAGCTTCTACAGCCCTTTGTATTTATTGGGTAACAAGAGCAAGGAGGAGGTAATGATTGGTCAGCTGCTTAACTGATCACAGGTTCATATTGTTACTGACAGGCTTCAATGATGCCTAATCATAAGAAACGTTTGTGTGGCCTCCAACAAACCGGCTCTTACCTGCCTTTTCCATTATATGTTTGGTTGAGGTTTGTCCCTATGGTGTTAATTCTCCCTGTACTTTTGGGCTGTTCTGCATATGGGCTGAGGGAGCTCCTGCAGCTTCAGAAAAAAAAGACACAGAGCAGAATAACTGAGAGTTACAAGGCCACAAAGTGTGGGTCACTGGACACTGAGCTTGGGAACTGTTCAATTTAAGCTGAAATTAGAGGTGGGCTGAGGGGCTGTGCCAAAAAGAGTCTTTTACATCCTATCTTTAGAGTGGGAGTTTTGTCCTAGCATTATGAGGCTTCACTATGGGTCCTCCAAAGTAGGGATCATAAAAGGATATTTTGTAATCCTGTGTGACAGAACTGCTAGCTGCTAACCAAAATCCACATTCTTTTCTTCCTGGGTATTCAGCTGGCTCATATTTCTCAGCCTCTCTTGCAATTAGGTGTGGCCAATGGACTGAGTTCCAATCAATGCAGTATGAGCAGAAGCAATGTGCAGCACTACCAGGCCTGGTCCACAACAATTCTCCTAGGCATACCTCTTCGTGTTCCTGTCCCTTGTGCTGGCTGGATGTTAATTCTCAGGTGACCTTAACCACATGCTGAAAATGGCAGAGCCTCTGCCACCCTGGGTCCTCCAATGATTGTGTGGAACAGACAATCCTCCCTCTTCCTCCTCCCACTTCTCCAGCCCCATCTCACCCATTTGGAGCTGCTTTGTTCTGAGACCAAGAAATAGACTTCTGTGGTATTTGAGACAAAATACACTTTGAGATTAATTTCTTATAGCAATAGCCTACCTTAACAAATATACCTAGCATAACACCTTACCATTCCTCAGGCACAGACATTAAGCCTTAAGTATCTCTGAACTATACTATTTAGGAAAGATTTGAAAGTTTAAAAAGATAATTATAAACAATATGTGCATATGTAAAAAAAAAATACCAAAAAGTCTAAAATCAAAGTAAAAGTCCCCTGTCTTCCTCTTTACCCATTTCAAATACCACTCCCATTGGGTAACCACTTTTGACTATTTCTGTTTTTATTTTTCCCTAATTGTTACCTCTACATAATCTCCATTTCTTTTTTTCTTTTCTTTTCTTTTTCTTATTTTTTTGAGACTGAATCTCACTCTGTTGTCCAGGCTGGAGTGCAGTGGCACGATCTCAGCTCACTGCAACCTCTGCCTCCCAGGTTCAAGCAATTCTTCAGCCTCAGCCTCCCGAGTAGCTGGGACTGTGGGTGCCTGCCACCACACCAGGCTAATTTTTGTATTTTTAGTAGAGATGGGGTTTCATCATATTGGCCAGGCTGGTCTTGAACTCCTGACCTTGTGATCCACCCACCTCGGCCTCCCAAAGTGCTGGGATTACAGGCATGAGTTACTGTGCCCAGCCAATCTCCTCTATTTCTAATTTTATCCATGTTAAACAATATTTAATGGCATCCAACTATGAAAAATGAGCAGTTAACAAATACTTTTTTTATCCTAGTGTCTTAGTCCATTTGGGCCGCTACAATAGAATACCGCGAACTGGGTGGTTTGAACAACCCAGTTTCTCACTGCTCTGGAAACTGAGAAGTTCAAGATCAAGGTGCCAGAAGACTTACTTTGTGTCTGGTGAGGGCCTGCTTCCTGGTTCCTAGATGGTATTCTTCTCTTTGTGTCTTCACATGGCAGAAAGAAAATGAGAGAGCTCTCTTGGGTCCATTTTAGAAGGTTACTAATCCCATTCATGAGGGCTTCATTCTAAATGCTTCCCAAGGGCCCCATCATCTCATACCATCCCATCAAAGATGAGAATTTCAACATATGATTTTGGGTTAATTGAATGGACTGCAACACATTCAGTTCTTTGCACCAAGGAAAATGAAAAAGAGTGTTAGGTGGAAGAAATAATGGTGGTGGTAGAAGGATATCACACTTTATAATTCTATGAAGGAGAACCAGTGTGATGTGGGCAAACAAAATTTTGAATCAATGTTGTGTGGAGTGTGGCTTCTACTACTCGTTTGCCAGGATGGGAGATTGTTGTGAGATGAAATAACACATCTACAGGTGTTTTGCTATGGACTCATCCCTAGTGGCATAGTTGGGATATTTGTCCCCTTCAAGTCTCATTTGAAATGTGATTCCCAGTGTTGGCGGTGAGGCCTACTGGGAGGTGTTTGGGTCACAGAGGAGGATCCCTTATGAATGGCTTGGTACCCTCTCCCTGGCAATGAGCAAGTTCTTACTCTATTAGTTCATGCGAGATCTGATTGTTAAGAAGAATCTGGCACCACTTCTCTCGCTCTTGCTCCTTTTCTTACCATGTGACACACTGGTTCCCCTTGCCTTCTGCTGCAAGTGAAAGCTTCATGAAGCCTCATCAGAAGCCTGTCAGATGCTGATGGCATGCTTGTACAGCCTGCAGAAGCATAAGCCAAATAAACCACTTTTCTTTATCAATTACCCAGCCTCAAAGTATTCCTTTATAGCAATGCAAGATGGGTTAATACGCCTAGAAATATTTGTGTGGGTACATGAGGGAGCATGAGTGAGGGTAGAGAGGAAGATCAACATTTATTAAGCACTACATCTCTCCTAGAAACTATGTAAGGTGCTTTGCAAACACTGTTTCTTTCCTTTCTGCAATGACCCAGGTAAGCTGAGTAAGGGAAGAGTTAGGGATGAATTATCACTTGTTACATACAGTAACAGGATGTCTGTCTGCAAAGTCTATAGTCTTCACACACCACCATATTATTATACACGATGGATGCCAATTATTCTTACATCTGCTAAAATGTAGATTAAATTTAAGATACTTAAGGTCAAACTATTCTGGAGGGTAACCTCTAATGAGCAAAGTGTCTTGCACATTTACCACTAGAAACAGATCTTAGGTTACCGATAAAGCAATTCCACCTGAGCCAGCACCTCTTGTTCCAGCCAACAGAGGGCAGTGAGAGACGTAGGGTGCATTTAGAGTTAGAGCAAGGAAAGTCTTCTTAGAAACTAATGCCAAAGTCAAATTTGAATTGTTGTCAGCTTGTCAAAATGTTGGCCAGAAGCCCAGAAGTGTATAAAATTGTCCTTCTCAAATGATAGATCAATCAAAAACAACTTGAAAAGAATCCATCAGAGTCCTTGAAACATAAAATAATATAAATTCCATTTAATTTAGAAATAATCAGGCTATGCCTTTAGACACTTTACTCAACCATCAGGTATCAGCCATGAAAAGATTGTGGTCCTGTTGGCACGATGTTCCTATATGGGGAAAACAGCTCATTTTCTTATTCTCTGTATGATGTCCAGACTGATTCTTGTGCTGATTCATGTTACTAAACAAATGACATCATCTAAAATCTAAATCTAAATCATCTAAAACTGAATGTTATTCTTTAGTGAAAATCTCCTCCTTATAAATACTCCATCATAGAAGTTTTTAGATAGAAAAAAATAACAGAAACTCCTAACTTCTCAGTAATGGCAATTCCTAGGAAACCTTAAATCATATGAATAAATCATGGAGGGAGCTTGCCTTAGATTGGATGTGCTACCACAGGCCAGAAGGTCAATATCAGGTTTTCAGACCTGGAAACATCACTTTTTTCCATTGCTACTAGGACTGAGCTCTGATTTTTCAAATCTTGCCCACATTCCTATCTAAGGGGTCTGGGGCATCATGCCCTACAAACTATCAGTTCTCATCAGATGGGTTTTATTTAACCATGTATATTGTGACTTACTTTCCAATCTGACTTGGGTATAACAAGGAAGAAAATCAAAATATTTTACCCCAAAACATGTTTCTCTGCCATATCTTGAAATGGCCCTGCAAAGCCGTTCTTTGTGGGGGAAAATCTGTATCTGTAAAGAATCTCTATTAACATAGCTAGATCTTTTTCTTCCAAGCCCTCCCAATCCTGAAAAGATTAACTAAAAGTCTTGCACCTTTTAAAGATCTGAATAGGAAACATTTGTCATCTATTGTCTCTAAGGGCAGCCACTATAAGACTTCAAAAGAACCTTGGTCTCCACAATCTTTTATCTTAACCTGATCATTTCCCTTCTATCATCCCAGGTCTTTGACAAACTCAACCAATTGTCAATGAGAAAATGTTTAAATTTACCTATAGACTGGAAGCACTGCCCTCCCAGCTTTTATTTGTCCCACCTTTATGAACCAAACCAATGTATTTCATAAATGTATTTGATTGATGTCTCATGCCTCCCTAAAATATATAAAACCAAGATGTACCCCAACCACCTTGGGCACATGTTCTCAGGAGCTCTCGAGGGCTGTGTTACAGGCCATGGTCACTCATCTTTGGCTCAGAATAAATCTCTAAAAATATTTTACAGAGTTTGACTCGTTTTGTCAACAGCTACTTGATCATAGAATTTAGATAAATTTTGATTAATTTTGAAATTAATCTCAAATGAGGGGGCAATGTGAGGGAGTGAATGGAAAGAAAAATAGAAAATAGGAATATACCAGAACATCATTCTGAGCTTCTTCCTCAAAAGTAAGCTTACCAGGATAGCAATTAGGAACCTCATTTTAAACAGATGTTAATTGCCAGAAAAATAAAATATCTGTAAATCAAAAATAAATTCCTAAGCCCCCTAACCAATTGAATGGACCCCTTCTCTTGGCCAACGGCATAAAGCAAACCTGAGGCCAGGCGCGGTGGGGCATGCCTGTCATCCCAGCACTTTGAGAAACCGAGGTGGATAGATCTCTTAAGCTCAAACTGTCTTGCTAAGATGTATAAAAACCATGCTGCAGCCTGACCACTTTGGGCATATGTTGTTAGGCTTTCCTGGGGCTATGTCACGGGCCATTGGTCACTCACATTTTACTCAGAATAAATATCTTCAAATATTTTACAGAGTTTGACTCTTTTTGTTGACACATCTGACATACAAATAAATTTAATATTTAAAATAAATAATTGATTATTAATATGAATTTATTACTAAATAATAGTAAGAGAAATAGTGCTTATCAGAAATTTTCTTAGTTAAATACATACTTCTGTTTCACTTTTTCTGTATATGTTACCAGAAAAGGGTCCCGATCCAGACCCCAAGAGAGAGTTCTTGGATCTTGCACAAGAAAGAATTCGAGGCAAATCCATATGGTAAAGTGAAAGCAAGCTTACAAGAAAATAAAGGAATAAAGAATGGCTACTCCACAAACAGAGCAGCCTTGAGGGCTGGTGGTTGCCCATTTTTATGGTTATTTCTTGATTATATGCTAAACAAGGGGTGGATTATTCATGCCTCCCCTTTTAGACAGTATAGGGTAACTTCCTGATGTTGCCATGACATTTGTAAACTGTCATGGCACTGGTGGGAGTGTAGCAGTGAAGACAACCAGAAATCACTTTTGTCACCATCTTGGTTTGGTGGGTTTTGGCCAGCTTCTTTACTATAATCTATTTCATCAGCAAGGTCTTTATGATCTGTATCTTGTAATGATCTCCTATTTCATTCTGTGACTTAGAATGCCCAGTCATCTGGGAATGCAGCCCAGTAGGTCTCAGCCTTATTTAACCCAGTCCCTATTCAAGATTAAGTTGCTCTGGTTCAAATGCCTCTCACATATATATTGCTGTATATATTTTTATATGTATTGACTTTTTCCTGATTGAGAATCCTTACTGACCCTAGGGGTTTGCATACTTATGAAGCAAAGGATAATGTCAGTTTTCAAATATTCAGAATTATTTTGCCTGATGGGCAAAACCCATCAGGAGGCAGTGAGGCAATTACTGAATTATAAGGTGGTTAACAGACAAGGCCCTGTGTCATACGGACCTGGTTCTACTTCTGCTCTACTACCAATTTGCTAGCTATGTGACCATGGGCAAGTTACTTAGGCTCTCTGTGCGTTATTTACTGCATCTGAAAAAGGAATATTACAATTAAATGCCCAGTTTATAGTGTGGTTTTGCCTGGAATATGGTAAGCACTTAATAAATACTAAGATTTGGTTTAAGTGTTAAAAATTATTTTTGAGGCCAGGCACGGTGGCTCACGCCTGTAATCCCAGCACTTTGGGAGTCCGAGGCAGGGGGATCACGAGGTCAGGAGATGGAGACCATCCTGGCTAACATGGTGAAACCCTGTCTCTACTAAAAATACAAAAAATTAGCTGGGTGTGGTAGTGGTCGCCTGTAGTCCTAGCCACTTGGGAGGCTGAGGCAGGAGAATGGCGTGAACCCGGGAGGTGGAGCTTGCAGTGAGCTGAGATCGCACCACTGCACTCCAGCCTGGACCACAGAGTGAGACTCTGTCTCAAAAAAAAAAAATTATTTTTGAGTAAATGCCTAATAATTGTTAGCTGCCATCATCATCATCTTTGGCCATAACTTCAGCAGATTTTATTTATTTATTTATTTATTTATTTATTTATTTATTTATTTATTTATTGAGATGGATTTTCGCTCTTGTTGCCCAGGCTGGAGTACAATGGCACGATCTTGGCTCACCACAACCTCCGCCTCCCTGGTTCAAGCAATTCTCCTGTCTAAGCCTCCCAAGTAGCTGGGATTACAGGCATGTGCCACCTTGCCCAGCTAATTTTGTACTTTTAGTGGAGATGGGGTTTCTCCATGTTTGTCAGGCTGATCTTAAACTCCCGACTTCAGGTGATCTGCCCAGCTTGGCCTCCCAAAGTGCTGGAATTACAGGCGTCGGCCAATGTGCCTGGCCTATATTGTTTTTAACCAGCTATAGCTCCTCTAATACCTGCATGTGCAAATCTGGGACTATCCACATTGTGATTTTTATTTGCGTTTTAAAATTTTATTATTTATTAATTTTTTTAGATGGAGTCTTGCTCTGTCACCCAGGCTGCAGTGCAGTGGTGCGATATTGGCTCACTGAAACCTCCGCCTCCCAGGTTCAAGGGATTCTCTGCCTCAGCCTTCTGAGTAGCCGGGATTATAGGCACCTGCCACCACATCTGGCTAATTTTTGTGTTTTTAGTAGAGATGGGGTTTCACCATCTTGGCCAGGCTGGCTTGAACTCCTGACTTCATGATCCACCTGCCTTGGCCTCCAGAAGGGCTGGGATTACAGATGTGACCCACTGTCCCTGGCCCACATCCTGATGTTTTTTCCTGCTCTATCTGTTTTATAGCATCTATCGTAATTAGTGGTTTTTGATGGGGACAATCATTGCAAACTGAAGATTATAAGAACATAAGCAGATTCACAGTTAAGACTACAAGTTGGAACATGGAAACAAGGAAGTAGGATAGCTACTTAAGACTGAATTCGGGACATGGGTGTACATGGGAGAAAGAATTTGAATAAGTGGGAAGGGAAAAAAGAGTATGGAAATATCACCAGCCAAATATTTATACTGAATCCAGGATCCTTGATTACTGGAACTCAAGACAGGCAACCAACTGGACTTAAATCACTTAAATGGAGGGGTCTTTGTATGCAGCTGCCCATTCAACATATTCATCATTCCTAGACAACATGGCATGGGGATGAGGGGAAAGAAAGAAAAGATATTCATCAGCTGAGATTAGCATCTCAATCATTACGACAATGGAATTTAGAAGCAAGAAAGACTCTACAGAGAGTGATGATGGTGTGAACACTGAATATCTGAGACAGGTCTCAGTTATTCTAGAAAGTTTATTTTGCCAAGGTTGAGGACACAAGCCTGTGGCATAGCCTCAGGAGGTCCTGACAACATGTGCCCAAGGTGGTTGGGGCACAGCTTGGTTTTATACATTTTAGGGAGACATGAGACCTCAACCAATATATATATACAAGTTATACATTGGTTCTGTCCAATAAGGTGGGACAATTCAAGCAGGGAGGGAGCTTCCACGTCATAGGTAAGTGAGAGAAAAATGGTTTCATTCTTTTGAGTTTCTGATTATCCTTTCCAAAGGAGGCAATCAGATATGCATTTATCTCAGTGAGCAGAGGGATGACTTTGAATAGAATGGGAGGCAGGTTTGCCCTAAGCAGTTCCCAGCTTGACTTTTCCCTTTAGCTTAGTGATTTGGTGACCCCAAGATGAGGCCAGTTTTCCCAAGAGGCTTTTATTGGCTCTGTAAGTCAAGTTTGTTTCTTTAAAGGAACCACACCTGTTTAGTCAAAGCCCTTGTAAAATAACCAGTTTCTCCAATTGTGTCCTGTTACAAATGAAAACAGATTCTTATTGCACTTATGCAAAAAACTATATTGCTGTAAGTTAAGAATACTTACAAATAGTTTCCAAATTCTGGAGAAATTGGGTGGAGAGAAATAAATGTGCTCCAAATTTTGTTCATAGAAGTACACCTAATTATTAAAAGCTGTCAATAGCTCAAAGAAAAGTTTCCTTGACACTGAAAAACAAAACAAATAATCAGCAATGTTTTAAGCAGAAAGTCAAAAAGATTACTTTAGTCTTCTATTAGTTCAGTCCATGTAGTTAATTCCTCTTCTGCTTGATATTCATGAACATTTCAGCTCTCCATGAGTCCTGAAAGTTTTCCTCTATTCTGATGTCACAATCTACAAAGTTATCAGAAACCTGCATTCAAGAGAGCCTGTTAGAGTTCTATAGCTGATTATAAAACTACCTTCTAAAGAGGACCAAAACAAGACAATTGTCTATGGATGACAAAAAGCTTTAAGGTAGCCATAGTCAAAGACACAATTGACAAGAAAATGTGTTACCTCTGTGGCACAAATAATTTAATGTAACAATTATAATTATTACTGATAATGTACACAAAGTCATATCAGAATTATAGGAGTTTCCCATAATTTTGGAACACATAACAATAACATATTTATACAAATACAGCCCAAAGAAAACCAAACACCATTTCATATTTAACAATGCTTTCTGTATAGTTTTTAGGCCAAATAAGCCAAATATGTCATTTTTGGACTTTGGGGAAGCTAATATTTTAAGGATTAATTAGGTAGGAAAAAGACATAATTTATAATTTGATTTTGGAAAGCTTGTCAAATATCAGAGGTTTAAAACACTTGATATCACAAAATAGGTTTTTGTGATACTTATTTTACAAAATGTAAAACAAATCATTCATTTAACCAAAGTGATAACTCAAGGATTTCAAGAAAGGCTTCATTCTTCAAGAAAAAACTTTCATTCTTTGAAAGACGAGACTTAATTTTCTAAACAATAAGTCCTAATAAAAACACCATGAAGCCAATTCAATTTGTTTTCCAAAAGTTTATAAACAATCTATAAAATTTTAATCTTGACCATAAGATGTAACTTCCATAAGCCTTTTATAAACTTTATAACCTTTATTAAGGAGTGGGTTAATACTTCAGGAAAACCTTGTTAATCTGCCACAGGGGGCCTATATGCTGGTCTTGCATCAGTGTGCCTTTGGCATTAATGTTTAATTTACAGAGAAACAGAACTTATTTTATCTCTAAAAATTTGCCCTTACAATCTCACACACCTACCTCTTCTGCAATAGTCCCTGGGCCTTGAGGAGTTAAATAGCTTTAATGTCTGGCATTGTGCCTCAGGAATGCAGTTTATTTTGATTGCCATCTTCTACTGGGCCTGAAAATGAGGCTTAAATTGCTGTCAGTGTTCAAGATTTAGCAGGACTTGGCATCCTTTTTAGACCCAGGAGTGAAAGCCCTGTGACTCAATGTCACAAGGACTTTAAAAGCACATATAGAAAGATACATGAATGTACAACCTTAATTTAAGGAAATGTTTTTAATCTCAATTTTTTTCTAAGCAAACCAAAACTTAATAATAATGGCATAGGAATTATTTTGATAAAATGTATAATCTGTTAGGTCAGTTACCAAAAGACAAAAGAAAAGACCTTCTGAAGTGCACAGAATATTATGTTGGAGGAAAACATTTCCTTTAGACCTTTAAGAAAACATTGTTAGCATCAGGCCACAACAAACAGAACTTGAGGGAAAAAAAGCTTATATGGGCTTAAAATGAGTTGAAGGAGAGTGTTATTATTTCATGCCTTTTGAAAGGGGAGAGCAAACCGAAAATAATTTTGATGAAATAAAAGTTGAACTTTGGGTTAAAAAAATTAATATCTCCTGTAATTTATTAAGAGTAAATCAGTCCCTTAAGAAAATTTTATTGTTCTAATCAATTCCTTAGTGTATACTTTTTTAATGTCCAACCAAATCTCTAGAAATACCGTTATAATTTCCCTTTAATTACAGACAACTTGATCATAGAAAAGTTTTTTAAAAAAAATAAATCCTCTTATGGTGACTTACACAGATCATTCATGACATGCTTGGACTTTCTGGTTTGTCCTGAACATCCCTCTTTCTTAAATAACTGGTCATTTTATTCTAGGACTAAATTTACCATACGAGATTCTTTCTCATATAAAATTATTTTTCTTTAAGCTTTCTTACCAGAAAATACCTCTTTATTTTTATAACGTTCTTTATTCTCTCTTATTTCCTAGTTCCTTTTACCTTGTTTCAATATAACTTTTAAATAAGCTTTGAATTAGACAAAAATTGTTCACCTTTTTAAAAAGAACACTTTTTTTCTTAGAAAGAATGTTTTCACTGGCCAGGAAGCACTTTGGGAGGCCGAGGCAGGTGGATCACAAAGTCAGGAGATCGAGACCATCCTGGCTAACATAGTGAAACCCCATCTCTACTAAAAATACAAAAAATTAGCCAAGTGTGGTGGCAGGCGCCTGTAGTCTCAGCTACTCGGGAGGCTGAGGCAGGAGAATGGCTTGAACCTGGGAGGTGGAGCTTGCAGTGAGCCAAGACCACAGTGCTGCATTCCAGCCTGGGTAACAGAGCAAGACTCTGTCTCAAAAAAAAAAAAAAAAGAAAGAATGTTTTCCTACAATGTATTTTTATTGGAAAATACTCAAATAATAAAATATCCATTATTTAATTGAATATAACTTTATATTCTAAATTATGACAAGTTTGTCTACATGTATTTATCCCATTACATTTAGCTAATTATTTTAATCATTTATCTAGATTATTTATGAAAACTGTGATAGTCAATATTTAAAGTTATGAAACTCATCATTGCAAAATTGTAACTGAGACAGTGAAAAAGATATAACCTAACTGACTCCATCTTGCTTCTAACCTCCAAGCTGTTCTTGTTCATTCCTGGGTGTAGGCCGGGCTAACTTTAGGAGTAACTTTGTTTATAGTTTAGCTTTGAAACAAAGACAATAACAGTTCTTTCCCAAAACAACCTCTTTACTGCCTGTGGACTACACTGCCTAAAACCACAAGATTAGAAGTTATGGTAATTTTACTAAATAATTCGGGACACAGCTATTTTCATTAAACCAATATCAATGTCTTATTTATTAAAAATTACACAAGCAAAGATCATTCTGTTTTGGGTTGGTTTTATAGATTTGTAACCCTTATGCCAAATTTTGATACATTATAGTATTTGGCAGGGATAAGTATGAAATTGCTTGACCAATAAATGCAAACAAAAATGTATGCTGGCAATTCTTAAGACATTTTAAAATATTACTTTACCAATAATTTTAATGCTAGCTTATTTATTAAAGATTTTACTTAAGTCACATAAACTTGAAAAAGCATTTGACTAGTCTTTTTTCTGATAAAGTATTTGTTTTAAGTGCTTTTATTTTTCTTTAAGCCAATTAACTAGAGCTATTTTATATATTTTTAGTAGTGAAGCACTGTGTACACAACACATAAATGCATACTGATAGAAGCACATCTTGTAGTTTCCTAAGACCTCCTTTTTTTCCCTGTCTTAGACTTACAAACTCTTGATAACCTATTTCATTACCCTGGCAGTTGTCAGCTAAATAGCCTTAAATCTGAATATTGAAGAAACAACCCTTGGATGAAAAATCAGTTAGCAAAATGTACATCTCAAGGTACGGAGAGAAAAAGTCTAGTGACGCTAGAGGGAGATTAAAGATGGATGTAAAAGCAAACATAAAATTATAGACATCTATCATAGGATTGTATGAGGAGAGCAATTTTTTTATTTTATTTTATTTTATTATTTTATTTTATTTTATTTTATTTTATTTTATTTTATTTTATTTTATTTTATTTTATTTTATTTTTTTAGAGGAAGTCTTGCTCTGTTGCCCAGGCTGGAGTACAGTGGTGCTATCTCAGCTCACTGCAACGTTCTCCACCTGGGTTCAAGCGATTCTCCCGCTTCAGCCTCCTGAGTAGCTGGGATTACAGGTGCGCCCCACCACGCCAGGCTAATTTTTGTATTTTTAGTAGAGACGGGTTTCACCACGTTGGTCAGGCTGGTCTCAAACTCCTGACCTCATGATCCACCTGCCTTGGCCTCCCAAAGTGCTGGGATTACAGGCATGAGCCATCATGCCTGGCTAGGACCACCTATCTTTTAACTAGTTCTCTGAGCACTGGAGAGAGCCCATATGCAATCCTAGGTATCCAAAAAGGCTAGACCATGTGATGCTTTTACAGTGTACTTTTACAATGTACAAAAACACTTCTAAATGTCTAAACTACACTCTTCCTTAAGAACCCAAGAATAGCAAGTCTGGGTGCAGTGGTTCATGCCTGTAATCCCAGCACTTTGGGAGGCCAAGGCAAGAGGATCACTTGAGTTCAGGAGTTCGAGACCAGCCTGGCCAAAATGGTGAAACCCCATCTCTACTAAAAATACAAAAATTAGCTGAGTGTAGTGGCATGTGCCTGTAATCCCAGCTACTGAGAAGGTTGAGGCAGGAGAATCGCTTGAACCCGGGAGGCAGAGGTTGCAGTGAGCCAAGATCATGCCACTGCACTCCAGCCTGGGCAACAGAGCAAGACTCCATCTCAAAAAAAAAAAAAAGACCCCAAGAGTAGCCTCTGTTGCAATAACTATTTTAGCCAGTAAATCAGGTAAGCAAGCAGTTTAAGAGCTGAGACGATCTTTTCTGTTTACACTCTTGGGTTTCCATGAAGAAAAACAGAGGTTTCTCCCCAAAAAGGAACCTGAAACCTTCTCCAGCTTCTTTAAGTCACCCTTTGCTGACTCTCTTTTTGGACTCAGCCCGCTTGCACTCAGGTGATTAAAAAGCTTTATTGCTCACACAAAGCCTGTTTGGTGGTCTCTTCACACAGATGCGCATGACACCTTCCTTCATCATGGAAGCAGAAAAATCTTGCCTTCCTTGTGTTGGAAGCAAGTAAAATTTCAAAACAAGGAGTCATACAGCAAAATAAACTTTAGATCTCGACCAAATTTTGGAGGATCAGGGATTCTCTGGAGTGGGTGCTTCCAGGCCACAGCAAATTGTCTGATTGGTTTGAGCCATAAAGATAGCTCAAGCTGGTACCAAGCACCAATAGGAGATTTGTCAAAGGTCAGGGGCACCTCCACTCAGAGTCCCTTTGTGGTTACCAAAATGTGAACCCTGAATATCTGAGACAGGTCTCAGTTATTCTAGAAAGTTTATTTTGGCAAGGTTGAGGAGACACACCCGTGACAAAGCTTCAGGATGTCCTGAAAATGTGCCCAAGGTGGTTGGGGCATAGCTTGGTTTTATACATTTTAGGGAGACATGAGACATCAATCAATATATGTAAGATGTACATCTCACATAAGGTGGGACAACTGAAGCAGGGAGGGGGCTTCCAGGTCTTAGGTAAGTGAGAGACAAATGATTGCATTCTTTTGAGTTTCTGGTTATCCTTTCCAAAGGAGGCAATCAGCTATGCATTTATCTTAGTGAGCAGAGGGATGACTTTGAATAGAATGGGAGGCAGGTTTGCCCTAAGCAGTTCCCAGTTTGACCTTTCCCTTTAACTTAGTGATTTGGAGACCCCAATATTTATTTTCCTTTCACAAAAGAAATGAAAATATTTTACCCAAAATATATTTATTTGACATATTTTGAAATGGTCCTGCAAGCCTATTTTTTCATGGGGGAAATTTGCAACTATAGAGAGTCTCCATTAATGTAGCTGGCCTTCCCTTTCTAGGCCTTTCCAGGACCTAGGAGAGATCAGCTGAGAGACTGACACCTTTAAAAGTCTGAAAAGAAACATTCATCATTTTTTCTCTCTGAGGGCTACTACTTGTGAGGTTTCATCTACATAAGGAGACCCCCTATGCTAGCCAAGCCTCTTCCTTTCTTCCACTCATAACCTGTCTTGCCACTAAAACCTGATTTACCAACATGACCTGTTTGGGCCATGCTCTGAGCCTGCATCCTTTCTACAATTTCAAGATGATACTAGATTCTGTATCTCACTGGAGTGTCGGGTCTTCATTCTGAAGGCTTCTGTGTATACACATGAAATAAACTTGTATGCCTTTTCTCCTATTTAATCAATCTGCTTCATGTCAGTGATTTTCAGTGAACTTCCATGGGGCCAAAAGCCTGGGGAGGTATGAAAAAGCATTTTATTTGGGAGTAATTGGGAAAAGGAGAAACTATAGGAAACTCAGGCAGATACAAGAATTTAAGTGAATGAGTTAAGATTCTCTTGAGCAGGACACCCTTGGGTGTATAGTCCCTGTCTATATAAATAATCTGAGTTACCCCAAATCAGTGTCACCACCATTTTGTGGGCTGTATCTCACAGGGTCCCATGGTGGAAAAAATGCCTGCTGACCAGTGAAGCTAATTACTCACCAGTCTTCCCTCCTAGAACTGGGGCCATCTATGAGGATGACTCCAATGGTACAGGGCCCAGAGTGCTTTAGGATATCCGGTTGACCCCAACTAGTTTGATGGGGAGTGTTTTGTGGAGGGTGTGATACAGTGTTGAAAATTACCCCCAAAGAGGGAAAACAGGGACAAGGGCCCGTGCAGATTCTGGTCCAGACTTAGGTCTCAAGCACCAAATGGGGACTAGAAAATTTTAAAGATCGTTCTCCAAAGGGAAAGGAAATGTGGGGCCCACTTTTAGGGCCCTGTTTCCCCATGTCTAAGGGTGGTCCTTACCATAGGTCAGAGTGAAATCAATGGCATTTGTATATTGACTTATTTAACTAAATTAACTACCTGGAAATGGGACTGGACTAGAGAAGGAATTGAAACCGAGGGCTAACCTGATTAAGCCTGCCAAACTTAACCTGCTTTCCTTGTGTTAAAAGAAAAACTTCAGCCAAATTAAATTTAAAGGAGTTTAGTTGAGCAATGAACAATTTGCAAATCAGGAAGATCCCAGAATCATAGCATATTCAGAGAGACTCCGCAGCCATGTGATGGAAGATTTATAGACAAAAAAGGGAACTGACATACAGAAATTGGAAGTGAGGTACAGAAACAGCTGGATTGGTTGCAGGTTGGCATTTGCCTGATTTGTACATGGTTTGAACAGTTGACTACAATTCATTGACCAAAACTCAGTGATTGACACAGGTGTGGGCTACAATCTGTTTACATCTCCACTTGTTATAGTTCATGATGTAGAGAAAAAACTTCCACGGCAAACTTAAATATGTAAGGAGGCAGCATTAGGCTAAACTTGATTAACAATTGCTTTTAAACACTTACTTCTAGTTGGTCTTAAAACCCCCATTAGCAGGCCACAGAGCTAAACAATATATAAATAAACCCACACCAGCTTCCTTATGAATAACATCTCTGACTGTGGGCCACTCATAGCAATGGTTGCTAAACGTTGTTTTTCAGGAAGTAGGGGGGATGTTCTTGGCCAGTTCGAGCTGGCTGAGACCACTCTGCATAAATGCCCAATAAGTGACCTTTTGGCATCAGAAAGCCAAAAATTCCTCCCTCACATTGTGCTAAAGCCACCATTTTCTGGACATGCATTCTATGAAGAACCATGAAGCTTGACTACATGTGCATAGATCACTGATTACCTCATTTTTTTCTTTCCTCTTGTAACATTTCCTCAGCCTTGGACCACTTTGCTCCTCAATCCAACAAATGTCCCTAAAACCACATCTTTGGTGAGGCAGATCTGAGACCTATTCTCCCTCCTTGCTTGGTTGTCTCATGAATAAACTCTCTTTTGCAAAACCCGTTGTCTTAGTGATTAACTTGTTGCGTGAGGGCAGAATAAACCGGTTGATAACAGAATGACTATTGTGGCAGTTAAATGAACCTAGCTATGAGGGTAAAGCATGTTGATTCTTAGAGTTACAGCCCCTTTAGAATTTGTCAAGCCAATTCTAGAAAAAGAAAAAAAAAAGCATGTTGATTCTTAAGAGCTGCAATTAACCTTGGCCAGTGGTTCTCAATGTTGGATATACAATAAAATCATCTAAGAAACTTCAAAACAGAGCAACACACACATATACAGAGTGATTGGGCTCTACCTCAGACCAATTAAATCAGAGTCCATTGGGTCAGGGCCTGATATCATGATTTTTAAAAAAACAACTCCCAGATGATTCTAACAAGGAGCCAAAATTGAAAGCCATGGCTCTATGTTTCTCATCAGGATCGGAGTCTCATCATCCATTTCTCCAGCAATAGCACTTTTTCTTGCTACTTAATTCCTAGAATTCCAGACCATGCAGTAGTTACTGACCATAGATAAATGCTCTCCAACCAAATCTGGATTATCTACAACCAAGGAACTGTTACCTACTTTTCACTTTTATCAGCCACAGATGTTGTCAATCTTAGCTTCCAAGAACCCCGCCTTTAGCCTGGTGCTCTCTCTTGCCCAGTGCCCTGTTCTGCATTCACCATATTACATAACTTTATTCAGCCAATACACATCTGCAATCCTTAGTATTGCTGTAATTAAGCAAATGGGTTGTTTGACTTTGAGATCCTTCTGTCATACTCTTTTGCTAAAACCAAAGATTTTTTTAACCATGAAGAAAATGAAAATTAATTTGATTTGGAGATTTTGGAAATGCTCTAAAATATCATAAACTAGATAAAAAACAATTGCTGTAGAAACATCCTATCCCTTTAAAACAACAAAACCCTTGTAGAAGACTTACTGTTGATATGGACAGGAGACAGGGAAATACTGGGTAGAAGAGGGCAGTTCCCCAGCAAAGACCTCACCCTCAAACTTGGAAACCCATGGCCCTAAATGGGAACAGGCATTCCAGTTTTCATGACGAAAAGTTGCATTTTGGCCCACCACACCCCCCACCATCATGTACCCATATAAACCCCAAACCCCAGGCTCCATAAGGAGACAAGCAGATGAACAGAAGAGCAGAAGAGCAACAGAGAAGGAGAGAAGAGAAGAAGTGTCTGAACATCGAGAGGAGTTCCGCTACGGATGGTCAGAGAGGAGATCAGCTGCTGGATAGCCAAACTCCAGGGGAAAATGATCTTCCCACTCCATCCCCCTTCCAGCTCCCCATCCATCCTGCTGAGAGCCACTTCCACCACTTAATAAAACCCCTGCATTCATCCTTCAAATCCGTGTGTGACCTGATTTTTCCTGGATGCCAGACAAGTGCTCAGAATACAGAAAGCTGTCACACTGGCTCTCTGCCTTTGTGAAAGGGCAGAGGGTCCACTGAGCTGTTTAACACTTAAGCCCTCTGCAGATGGCAAGGCTGAAAAAGCCCACTATAACACATGCCTACTTGGGCTTTGGGAGTGGCAGGCCCCCACCCCTGTATGCTGCCATGGGGCCAGAGACCAGAGGTGCTCGCCCCGGCTCCCGCACCTGCATGTCTGTATGCTCCCCCTTCCGTAAGAGGTTTCAGTGTGCATGGCGGCTGAAGAGACGAGCCACACCCCTGTGTCATGTCCTTTGAGGGTGGTCAGGGAACTCTCCCATTTCACTATCAGCCATTTCTAAAAGTTAATCTGTGTAGTTAATCTTTTCTTTCCCAGGATAGGAAAGAATTGCAGGCAAGAAGCTCTGAATTCCCACCAGTTTTTATTTATTTATTTATTTGTCAAGTTTGTTTATTTTAGGCCTTAGATGGCTTCAGGGTGCTCCAGTTAGAGAAAAATAAATGGAGCAAGCAAGTTCCCAGAATACTTTTTGGCCCTACAAATTAGATATTTATTAGGAGCTAAAAGAAACTGCAGTTGCTGAATAATTAGGAGCAACTACGTTTATTTTACAAAATCCTTTCTCAGCAAAGTATCCATCTGTCAGTTTTCTAAATTCTCTCCTATAGATGCTAGCCTGTGAAGCCATCAGCATTTAAGTGTAGCCCTTCTGTGACATTTAAAAATCACTCAGAAAAGATGACAATATCTTAATAATGATAACGACTTTTTAAAAGAGATGGGATCTTGCTATGTTGCCCAGGCTGGCCTTGAGCTACTGGGATCCAGTAATCCTCCTGCCTCAGTCTCCACATATTTAGCATTACAGGCATGAGCCACCGTGCTGGGCTCCAAGTTTCCCTTTTGGATCTCACATGAACTGACTGTGGTAGGCAAATCATTCAATCTCCATGATTTTCTGTTGTTTCAATGATAAAATAAAGTGGATCGAGTTTAGATGACTCTGCAGGACACTTACAGCTTTAAAATGGTGTTTCTGGCCCAGTGTGGTGGCTCATGCCTGTAATCCCAGCACTTTGGAAGGCCAAGGCAGGAGGATTCCTTGAACCCAGAAGTTAAAGACCAGCCTGGGCAACATAAGGAGATCCTGTCACTATATAAAATTTAAAAATTAGCCAGGCATGGTGGTACACCTCTGCGGTCCCAGCTACTCAGGAGGCTGAGGTGGGAATATCGCTTGACCCCAGGAGGTTGAGGCTGCAGTGAGTCGTGATCACACCACTGCACTCCAGCCTGGGTAACAGAGCAAGACCCTGTCTCAAAAAATAAAAAAATAGTGTTTCTGTGATTCTACATTGAATTTTAAGAAAGATTTTAAAATTGACTTGACTTCTAATTTCATTCAAAGCTGTGTTCTGGCTCCAGTGAAAGCATGGATATTCCAGGTACTTACTCATCAAGTAAAATCAATGCGAAGGTGATAGTGCTGTGTGAATGAGTCTGCAAACAACAATGTGAGCGTCTGTTATACAGCCAACATTAAACTGAGTACTGTGGTACAGATAGTTTGTGATACTACCGTTGTACCAGGGAGCTTACCATCTGTTGGTGAGAATATTAGCACATAAGAAATTCTGTATAACCAACTGTGAGGTGTGGACTCCCGGTATCATTACCTAATGGTGGGGGAGGTCAATTAATAAGGCTTCCCCTGAAGGAAGAAGGACTTGGGCTGAGTTAAGAAACATGTAAACATGGGACAGTTTTGGATGGATGGAGGCAAAAGTGGAGGACTTTCCAGGCCAAGGAAGGAGCCTAGGCAAGGAGGAGCCAGAATCATTTGTATGATGATGAATGGACCCGACAGGTGTATTAGGACAGGTAGGACTGCCAATAGAAGAGAACAAAATAAAAGTAGCATTTGAGAAAGGTATCATTTGACAGCAGTGAGAAGACGGATTGGAAGAGGAGAGAGTTTCAGAAAATAGCTACCTTTTTCCGAGTGCCTTCTGTGTGCCAGGCTCTGTGATGGAACTTTATATAGATAATCCCAAATCATTGCAACAATCTACAAAGTAGGTTTTACTGTCTATCTATTTTGCAGATAAGTAAAGTCATGCTCAAAGAGGCTGAGAAACAGTCCAAGGCCATCCAGCTGGTAGGAGGTTCAGTAAAAATTCTAATCCAGTTTGGTAACTCCTATCCTACCATCCCATACTGATTCTCCCAGAACAAGAAGGCTTCTGCCAGTGCCATTCACCCAAATCAACCAAAACTTGATCTTTTGGTGGAGTTTGCCACTGTGGCAGCCAGCTACTAAGGAATTGATTACCTTGCCTTGGAGTGATCTGATTTGGTTGCTATGAATGCCTGAATAAGTCAGGTAAAGACTTTGTGGTCTGTCCTGAGGACAGATGATTATCCAATGTGTGAAAGGCAATGTGAATGAGGGTGTGAAAGATAATCAGACTGAGAGCTGGTCTCCTTATTGATATCCAGGAGCAAAACTACAGAGGCAGGCTCTATAAATAGCTGTTGTAATCACCAACCAAAGGACAGTCCTTTCTTTGTGCTTAATGTGGAAAAATCTTTTGGTCACACACCAGTGGTTTCAGTAACATCTGCACATTTTTGGCTTTTGAACACAAAAACCAAATTTTAATTCAGACTAGAAGTTATTTAAGTGAATTTTTCTTCAGTTGTGCAGAAGATAAGAGGGAGAGTCAGAAGTCAACATTATAATTTATGATCTTCATGTTTCTTTTGTCAGTTTCCAGAAGAAATCAGAAAAGAGATGGTGCGTGTGTGTGTGTGTGTGTGTGTGTGTGTTTGAAGGAGTATATATTCTTATACACTTCTATATAAAAATTTCTTTTAAAATATGTTGTAAAGACAAATCATTGCATAAACCTTAGTTCAGAAAACCTAAGTCTTCTATTTCTTTAAAAATGGAGATAAAGTCTGTACCCTGCCACCAATATCATTGATTCAGTTCAAGCCAGACGTAAACAGTCTGATTACATCACTGCTGCACATCCAGCTAGCTTCTTGGTTGAGACCTTCTGAGGTGTTAATTGCAATTGTGAATTAATCATTATTCCACTGAGCCAGAGTCTTATTTTCCTCTTCAAGCTTCTCATTATTAAGTTTGCTTGAATTGGTTAATGTGAGGACATCATCAATGCAAATTATCATTCAGCAATACAATACTAAACACGCACAACTGTTTCCATTATGCACTCTATCACGTAGAATTTTACATGTGAAAAGTCATAATTAACCACCATTCTAAAATTCTCTTTTTGTTTCTTTATTATCGTTTATGTTCATGAGTTCAGGACTTTTACCAGGATCTCTTTTTCTTCTCACACACTCCGAAACCCAAAATGAAAGCCATGGTGGTTCCACTCTTTTTGGAAAGTTACTGATTTCAGAAAAGAATAGCAATAAATATTTGGTACAAGTGCTTTTCAAAAGTACTAGCTCCTCTCTGACTTTATTTACATTAACAAAGCTATTATAGTAGTCTTGCCATGATAAAAATAATTCAGCAAAACTGATAATCTATTAAGATGAGAATGTGTAATTCCACTATTTTTCAGAAGTTTTCAGTGCTGGAAATTAAGGACTTTTAATAAAAGTGCCTCTCCATCATAGCTACAGGAAAGTTGCACTTGTATCTTGGAAACCCGTGGGACTAAGAAAGGATCTAACCAGGAGAGGATTGGGAGGTTGAGTATTTGGCACTGGGGTGGGTCAGGTGCTGGGGAGGCTGATCTGGTTGCACCTGCTGATAGTGGAAGTTTTTCTAATCAGCAAGCTTGGGCATTCAGTGGATTCTAGTTTGGGCCTGTGCTTGGAAAGGAGAGAATCAACATACAGAGATTGCAACTCAGTGTTGCTGGGCGTGGTGGCTCACACCTGTAATACTAGCACTTTGGGAGGCCGAGATGGATGGATCACCTGAGGTCAGGAGTTCGAGACCAGCCTGGCCAACATGGTGAAACCCCGTCTCTACCAAAAATACCAAAAATTAGCTGGGCATGGCAGCGTGTGCCTGTAATCTTAGCTACTTGGGAGGCTGAGGCAAGAGAATTGCTTGAACCCAGGAGGCGAAGGTTGCAGTGGGCCGAGATTGCACTATTGCACTCCAGCCTGGGCAACAAGAGCAAAACTCTGTCTCAAAGAAAAAAAAAAAAAGGAAAGTCAGTGTTGAAACCACCTTTGTAAAAATTGTGTCAGTGAGAAAATTGTGACAGAGAAAGAGATCTGATCTAACCCACCCCTCCCTTGCCTTTAGCTTTCAAGCTGCCTTAATTATTCCTGATCTTAGGCTGAGCTAACTTTGGAAGACATTTAGGTCAGGGGTCCCCAGCCCCTGGGCCACACACCAGTCTCTGGCCTGTTAGGAACCAGGCTGCACAGCAGGAGGTGAGAGATGGGTGAGAGAGCAAAACTTCATCTATATTTACGCCACTCGCCGTTACCGCCTGAGCTCCACCTCTTGTCAGATCAGCAGTGGCATTAGATTCTCATAGAAGTGTGAACCCCCTTGTGTTCTGAGTATCCCTCACATACCTGGGATCTAGGCTGCACACTCCTTAAGAGAGTCTAATGCCTCATGATCTGTCACTGACTCCCATCACCCCAAATGAGCCCATCTATTTGTAGGAAAACAAGCTAAGGATTCCACTGATTCTACATTACGGTGAGTTGTATAATTATTTCATTATGTATTACAATGTAATAATAAAAGAAATAAAGCACACAATAAATATAATGCACTTGAATTATCCCGAAACTATCCCCTCCACTCTCCATGGAAAAATTGTCTTCCATAAAACCAGTCCCTGATGCCAAAAAGGCTGGGGACCACTGAGTTAGGTTATAGTTTAAATAACCTATGGTTTATTATTAAATAATCAAGGCCTATTATTAAATAATCAGGCCTATTTAATAATAGTCTTTCCCCAAAACTCAATGTGGTCAGCTGGGCGCAGTGGCTCAGGCCTGTAATCACAGCACTTTGGGAGGCTGAGGCAGGCAGATCACCTGAGGTCAGGAGTTTGAGACCAGCCTGACCAATACGGTGAAGCCCCGTCTCTACTAAAAATACAAAAATTATTCAGGCGTGGTGGCAAGGGCCTGTAGTCCCAGCTACTCAGGAGGCTGAGACAGGAGAATTGCTTGAACCCGGGAGGTGGAGGTTGCAGTGAGCCAAGATAGTGCCACTGCACTCCAGCCTGGGCAACAGAGTGAGACTCTGTTTCAAAAAAAAAAAAAAAAAATCAATGTGGTTAAGCTAATGAAAGGCCACCAACAGGCTAAGAGGAGAGGAGCCTGAATTCTGCTAAGGTGTAGACATAAATGATTGCCAGCCATTCCTGCAAATAGCATCACTATTGTAGTGTGTAAGATTGGCCCTTTGAGATATTTTTCAGGTTCTTTCCATGTCTGACACCCATGGCTCCACCTGGACATGCCAACTTTGCTCCTGCGGCCCCACCCGGAAGCAACTCAGCTCAAGAAGATAACTTCAACCCCCTATATTTCATCTCCTCCCCAACCAATTAGCAGCAAACACCCATTGCATGGCCACCCCAATCCCTTCTTCCAAACTGCCTTTGAAAAACCCCTAACCTATGAGCCTGAGATGAGATTGATTTGAGTAATAACTCTATCCCTATCTGCAGTGTAGCATGGCCAACCTCGAGTCAATTAAATTTTCTTTACTGCAAGGCTGTGGTCTTTATTTGTGCAGCAGGTGGGAAGAACCCGTTGGGCAGTTTTAGTGTCATCAAGCAAAAGGGGCTCACTGGCCAATGTGCTAGAAGTCAATACTTGATGCCAGGTTTTTGAGAAAAGAAAAGCTTTTTATTGTAAGTCAACTCCCAAGGGGACAGTAGACTAGTTCAAATTTGTTTTCCTAAGCTGGCTTTAAGGCAGTAATTTTATTAAGGAAGGTTTAGGGGGTGGATTCTAGGATTGGTAGGTGATTGGTAGAAGGAAAGGGAGGTCTGGGAAGTCTTCAGGCATGCACAGTTATCTTTTTATGTCTTTTTATGAGTCCCATATGTAAATTTGGGAGGAGTTGGCATGAAATAGCTGGTAGAAATCTAGGCTGTGAAATCAGCAAGCTTGTGCTGTGCAAACTCCAGTCAGTTACATCAGTTCTAGTTTATTTTATTCTGTTTTGTTATCTCATAAGCTGAAGGAGTTTTAGTGTTTTAGTAAGTGGGGTGTTTTGTTGTTTTTTTTTTTTAATCTGTCTTCCTGTAAATGTAAGAATTTTTGTTAGTCATTGGTTTTTTTAACTCTTTGGAGCAGGGTTTCATTAGCAGGTTCCCACTTTTTTAAGGAGGTGAAATCCAAAAAGAGTGATACTCAGAAACCTGGATGGAAGTCACCATCCAGATGATTATCAGTGAGCCACTACTTGGGATTCATGGGCTTACTCTTGGAAGGGCTGTTCCAAGGCCAGGCTCCAGGACCAGGAGGCAATAGAGTACCAGAAGGATATTCTAGAACTTTTGCTCAGAGCACTTGCAGAGCTCTGTACCCCTCACTGTACTCATCCTAGCTGTGAATACCAGTTTAATGTCTTCCCCATAAACTCCATTAAGGGCCTGAGTCCATCCTGTTTTGCCCTGTAGCCCCAGCATTCAGCACTGTGTTGTGTATTGTCACCACCCCCATCCAGGCTTTTATCAGCTCTTACCCGGATCATGGCAATAGCCTCCTTCTACTCTTTCACCTGTCCAATATATTATTCCCACAATATCCTGTGGGTTTTCTTTTTCCTTTTTTTTTTTTTTTTTTTTTTTTTTTGAGACAGGGTCTCACTCTGTTGCCCAAGCTGGAATGCAGTGGTGTGATCTCGGCTCACTGCAACCTCTGCCTCCTGGGTTCAAGCAATTCTCCTGCCTCAGCCTCCCGAGTAGCTGGGATTTCAGGGTTACACCACCATGCCTGGCTAATTTTTGCATTTTTAGTAGAAAGGGGTTTCACCGTGTTGGCCAGGCTGGTCTCAACCTCCAACTTTAAGTGATCCACCCGCCTAGGCCTCCCAAAGTGTAGGGATTACAGCCAGGAGCTACCACACCCGGCCCCACTGTGGGTTTTTAAAAATGCAAATCTATGGGCTGGGCCCAGTGGCTCATGCTTATAATCCCAGCACTCTGGGAGGCCAAAGCAGGTGGATCAGAAGGTCAAGAGATTGAGACCATTCTGGCCAATGTGGTGAAACCCTGTCTCTACTAAAAATGCAAAAATTAGCTGGAAGTGGTAGCATGTGCCTGTAGTCCCAGCTACTCAGGAGGCTGAGGCAGGAGAATCACTTGAAACCAGGAGGCAGAGGTTGCAGTGAGCCGAGATCACGCCACTGCACTCCCGCCTGGCGACAGAGCGAGACTCCATCTCAAAAATAAAAATAAAAAAATATATTTTTGCTATCACCCTGCTTGTAATCCTTCAGTGATTTTCCATCACTCTTAGGACAGAACTCAAATCCCAAACATGGTCTCCAGGCCAAGCCAGCTACTCCGCTTTCTCTGACTTCTTCATGCTATACTTTTGGCCACCTTTCTCCCAGCCTCCCTTCATCTAGTTAATGCCTTCTCATTCTTCAACTCTGTGCCTAAGGGTCATTTCCTTGGAAAAGCCTTCCTTGAAACCCTGGTCTCCCAGGCATTCATTCCAATAGCACCCTGTGCTTCTTTTTCATAACACTTTTCCCAGCTTGTCACTCATTTATTAATATCATTATTGGGGCTGGCGCGGTGGCTCACGCCTGTAATCCCGGCATTTTGGGAGGCCGAGGCGGGCAGATCACGAGGTCAGGAGATAGAGACCATCCTGGCTAACATGGTGAAACCTCGTCTGTACTAAAAACTACAAAAAAATTAGCTGGCTGTAGTGGCGGGCGCCTGTAATCCCAGCTACTCGGGAGGCTGAGGCAGGAGAATGGTGTGAACCCGGGAGGCGGAGCTTGAAGTAAGCCGAGATCACCCCACTGCACTCCAGCCTGGGCAACAGAAAGAGACTTCGTCTCAAAAAAAAAAAAAAAAAAAAATCATTATTGGATTGCCTGTTTCTCTATTTTGACTTGTAACTTCCACGAGTGCAGAGACTGTATCTGTGTTGCTCAGTACCTGGAGTGTAATGGGAACCCTAAATATATCCCGAATTAACTCACGAATACTATAGACACCAAGTCCAGTAATGAGAACTGGTGCTAGGAAAGAACTGTGGAGTTCAGGACCCTGTGGCTTATGGACTAGGCGATCTGCCAGTTATTGGAACCAGGGAGGAAGAATTTAAAGCTGTTTGACATTGCCCATCAAGAGGCGGCCAGAAAGGTGTAAGCAACTCCTGCCTCAGTTCCAGGAGTGGCTCCCTGAACTCTCCCAGCAAGCCTGGACTTCAGTACAGATGAAGATACTATAACTTGCCAGGAATCACCCAACTGGGGGATAGGGGAAGACCCAAGACTCAAACTAGCTCTAAGTTTGGGTGTCTCCTTTCACAAGGAAGAGCTGCTTTTCTTTTGTGTAAGAGCAATCAAGTAGCAGATAAGTAATTACTGCTGTGTATTTGCCCAAGACTTCTGTCCTGCTTCTGCAGGTCTGCCTCTAAGTAACAGCAGCATCTGTGTTACTCATTTATCATCCATCACGTCCAGCTTGGGGACTGAATTGTGATGACTGTTACCTAGAGATGTGTGCAGAACAGCTGTATTCCAGGCTTTGCAGTTGGTGATTTTCTTTTGCCCGTTACGGTGGGCTCAGTCACAGTGAGAATACTAATGGAGCTGCTCGGGAAGCCACATGGGAGCTTGGTCGCACGGCAGAGACACTAACAGCAAAGTGACAGGGCAGGCAGCAAGCTGGGATATGGTTGCTCCTATCTTGGGAAAGGCCTGGACAGCAGCAAAGAAACAGGCTCAGACAGAAGTGCCAGAGATGGGATGTGCAACTGCGTGTCGAACGACATCCTGCATTCCCAGCAGAAAACAATGTCAGCCATATTCACACCAGACTGGGGACTCTAGCAGAAGGAAGACACACTCCATTTTGTTATTTGCTCCAGTATGAAAGGTTTTGGTGAGAGAGAAAGCCTGTCATATTAGGAGGAGTGCGTTCCTGTGTGCAATGAATACTACTAAAGGTACTTTAAGGGATTGTAAACTTAACATTGCCTGTCCACTCTTTGCACTGCTGTGTTTCCAATGATTAAAAGAATTGCTCCTGCTATCTTTTCTGTTTGGCTTTGTTAATACACATCTTTAATTTTAAATCGTTTTGAAAAACAGAATTCACACCTAATGAGAAAACCTTTCCTTATGGAAGCAATTTCTCTTGAGCCAGTTAGAAATTGTAAAATTCTATCTTGGCTTCAGTTCCACAACATTAAAAATATACTATGCACAATGAAGGTCTCAGAAAATGATGTTTATTACCTTTTAAAAATTTACCTAGAATTCTTATTTCTAGTTGTTTACTTAAAAATGACTTTCTATATTTGTTGTCCCTTTTCAAACAATTCTAAAAGCTTTATTTCTAATATTTTTGCTAATTTCTTCTATTATCTACAAGGTTTTGTACCAAATGACCCAACTCAGACAAATGTCTTAAATGAAAGAAGTAAATGGCTGTGTGAAAGTAAAGACAAGCTGTCCCTTAATTTACAGGCTGTGGGATGTTCTTCATGTGTCCTTGGCATTCTTCAGTGAGTTCTGACTTTGAATCTAGATAGGAAATATCTGCAGCAATACGTGAATGTGTTTAGAATCAACCTTTGAAATGTTGAACCACTGTTAAATACTAAATCAATCATGTATCTGAGTCATTTAAGAAATGAGGATTATATAACACACATTTCTTCATACTATATTTTTGGAAGCTGTTACAAACTTAAGATGTTCTTTAAATAAGGCATCATATTTATCATTTATCTCAAGCCATCTTTCCCCTTAGTTGTGCATATTCTAGAAGCAGAGAACTTTCCAACATAACATCAATTCAGTGATTACGGTTGTTTTATTTATGAAAATGAAACCTTGTACTTTTTCATAGTCTTTCTTTTCTTTTTTTTTTAAACCTGTTACTATGTAAATAAGTGTCATAGAATCTCAGCATTGGAAGGGCCCTTTTGGAACTCATCTGAACAGTACAGGTGCCCTTAACATCCCCCTGTTCAGAACTTGGCCTTGGGCATTCGTGAAAGGCTCTCAGCCCTGGGGGTGGGAGCTCTTCACACCTCCCTCTGAACTTGCTTCCTGCGCCTCCTTTGCAAACCTCACACTCCTATTGTTCTCACTCTTATTTCTAGGATTTGCAGCTTTTAGACTCTTCCTGGCTTCCCAGCGAGCCCTCTCCTGGGTGTGTATCCCATTGGCCCTGGCTTTCTCCAGCCTCGGTCCTGCCCAAGGCTCCATTTCTCCTCCCGGGCCAGTCTGGCCTGCCGTGGGAGGGAAGATGGAACAAAACTGTTCCCTGAAAGGTATAATATGTATGAAGCTCCTAAAATGGAATATCTGGAGTGATCAGTGTTTTTGTATGCTGAACAAAATGGCTGGTAGCTGAGGGCTCATCTTAAGTGGCTTCAGGACCCTGCACTCCAAAAACCTCTGGAGAGAGAAGGGCTGGAGATTGAGTTAATCACCAATGACCAATGATTTCATCAATCATGCCCACAGAAATGAAACCTCCATAATAACCCCTAGCCTCCAGGGAGAGTGCTTCTGGGGAGAGGGCATGGAAGCTTCACATACCCCACCCGCCCCATATCTTGCACTTGCCTTTCTTGCATTTGGCTGTTCCTGAGTTGTACCCTTTATTATAAACAAGTGAAAGTCAGTAGAGTGCTTTCCTAAGTTTGGAGTCATTCTGAAGTCATGAGCTAACAAAAATTCTGGACAGAAACACAGTTATAATAAAGTATTAATCAGGTTGCACTTTGATCTACTTCCTGGTAATCCCCAAATCACATAGCAGTATATACTGACCGTCTGCATCCCCATTGTTCCTATAGACAGGATTTCTGACGTTAGAATCATAAGGATTTTGTTTAAGGTAGATAAGCTCTCTGACATAAGAATCACAAGGCTTTTGTTTAGGAATTGCTTAAGGCCAGGCACAGTGGCTCACGCCTGTAATCCCAGCACTTTGGGAAGCTGAGACGGGTGGATCACCTGAGGTCAGGAGTTCGAGACCAGCCTGGCCAACACGGTGAAACCCCGTCTCTACTAAAAATACAAAAATTAGTCGGGCATGGTGACGGGCGCCTATAATCCCAGGTATTTGGGAGGCTGAGGCAGGAGAATCACTTGAATGAACCCAGGAGGCAGAGGTTGCAGTGAGCCAAGATCACACCATTGTACTCCAGTCTGGGCCACAGAGCGAGACTCCATCTCAAAAAAAAAAAAAAAAAAAAAGTAAAAAAAAAAAAAAAAAAAAGCATTGCTTAAGATGTTTTTCAGATCCTGGATTCCCGCAAAACAGCAGATGCCAACCAGTTTGAAGACCCCCATAGAGGAACAGAACCAGCATGAGAACACTGCTTCTTCATGTTTCTGTCCCATGACTTTGCCCTGAACTCTTCAACCAATCGATGATCTGTATACTTCAGCCCACTCCAAAGCTCTTAAAAGCCACAGTCCCAAGCTCTCAAGGTTTCCACCCGTCTCCTTGTTTGGAGGCCCTATTTTAACCGAGTACCCCCATTTTTCTAAGAGAAAGATAATGAGTTTTTATTATGTTTTTCTTTTTTATTTCTTATTTTCTGTTTTCTCCTTTTTCTTCTATTCCCTACTTCCTACTTAGCTGTTTAGAAATGCAATTATAACCTTTTACCTTCCCTTCACCAGACACTCCCTGCAGGGCAAGCTTATCTAACTGTGTGCTTAGAAGCTGCAGAGCAGAACGGTCTCTCACCAGGAGATTGCCTTGAGAGACAACCATCAATTTACAACGAAAAATACAACCTTGTTCTCCCCATAATGGCACCTGTGGATAAAGCACTAAAGCCAGTCACGTGGACCCCCCAACCTGCGTTTCCCTTTCCTGTGTGCCATTCATGCCAAGTTCCCTTTTATTTTATTATTATTATTCTTTGAGACAGAACGTCTCATTCTGTCACCCAGACTGGAGTGCAGGCGCAATCACAGCTCACTGCAGCCTTAACTTCCCAGGCTCAAATGATCCTCCTGCCTCAGCCTCCTGAGTAGCCGAGACTACAGGCACGTGCCACCATGCCCAGCTAATTTTTAAACTTCTTGTAGAGAAGGGGTTTTGCCATGTTGTCCAGGCTGATCTCAAACTCCTGGGCTCAAGTGATCTATCTGCCTGCCTTGGCCTCCCAAAATATTGGGATTACAGGCGTGAGCCACTACTCCCGGCACTCCCCTTTAAAAGTGCCTACTTTCTCCTCCAAAAGCAAAGCAGAGCCCTTAGAGCAGGAAGCCTGTACTTCTTTCCCTAAGCTAGCTCTGGAATAAAAACTCACTTTATACCAAATCTTGATCTTATTAATTGGACTCTGCAAGTGTTACTGGTGTCCAGGTTCTTGGCGTTTTGAATAAAGAATTGAACAAGGCCAGGCGCGGTGGCTCACGCCTGTAATCCCAGCACTTTGGGAGGCCAAGGTGGGTGGATCACCTGACATCAGGAGTTCAAGACCCCAGCCTGGCCAACATGGTGAAACCCTGTCTCTACTAAAAATACAAAAATTAGCCGGACATGGTGGCAGGCACCTGTAATCCCAGCTACTCAGGAGGCTGAGGCAGGAAAATCGCTTGAACCCAGGATGCAGAGGTTGCAGTGAGCTGGGATCGCGCCACTGCACTCCAGCCTGGGCGACAGAGCGAGACTCTGTCTCAAAAAAAAAAAAAAAAAAAAGAATTGAACAAATGCACAAACAAAGCAAGGAAAGAATGAAGCAACAAAAGCAGTGATTTATTGAAAATGAAAGCACACTCCACAGGGTGGGAGCCGCCTAAGCAAGTGGCTCAAGAGCCCAGTTACAGAATTTTCTGGGGTTTAAATACCCTCTAGAGGTTTCCATTGGTTACCTGGTGTATACCGTCTGTAAATGAAGAGGATATTTCTTGTCATAGCTGAAGTGTTTCTATATGATTTAGTTCTACAAAGCCCTTAAGTTCCCTTGCTCCAGGCCCTATTCTCCTGCCTCACAAGCAGCGAAAGACTAAACTTGTGTTTTGGTTACACTATGATTAGACCTCTTTCTCTGCTGCAACCTGGTGTCTCAGCATATTGACCTGCTGTATGCATCAGGCACAGACTTCTTATGGTTACAATTCCAGCAAATTATGGAACCTGAAGGAGGCGGTTGTAGGAACCCCCAGCTTTGTAGCCAACTCAGACAGGAGTATGGATAACCTGGAGACTGGATCCTTGTGACTGGCCTCTGAAGTGAGTGCAGTCTGTGTGACTGAGCTCTTAAACCTGCGAAGTCTGAGCTAGCTCCAGACAGCTGGCACCACAATCAAATTGAATTGTGGCATACTCAAGCTGGTGTTGGAGAATCAGAGAACTGGTTGTGTTACTGGTTGACAGTGTCCAGATTCTTGGAGTTCTGATCAAAGAATTGGACAAAACACACAAATAAAGCAAGGAAAGAATGAAGCAACAAAAGCAGAGATTTATTGAAAATGAAAGCACGTGCCACAGGATGGGAGTGGGCCCAAGCAAGTGGCTCAGGGGCCCCAGTTACAGAATTTTCTGGGGTTTCAATACCCTCTAGAGGTCTCCCATTGGCTACTTGGTGTATGCCCTATGTAAATGAAGAGGATGAAGTCCAGTTACAAAGTCATTTACTCAGTATGCGCCCTATGTAAATGGAGAAGATGTTACTCAGTGTGTGTAGCCTATGTAAATGGAGAGGATGAAGTGAAGTTACAAAGCCATTCACCTTCCTGTCATTGCCGAAGCATTTCCATTTGATTTAGTTCTAGGAAGTCAGCGTGAATCGGCCTTATGTTCCTTGCCTCCAGACCCTATTCTCCTGCCTCAGTTGATCTGAAGAGGAAAAAAGCCTCTCAATAGCCATCATCTCATCTGTAAATATTTTGATACCAGTTTATTTATTTGACAGATGTTTATTGAGCACTTGCTATGTGTCAGGCACTGTGCTTAGAGCTGGGTATAATGCCATCTGACCAGTTGAGAAGGCAGATATTAATGGAAAAGTCACACAAATACATGCAGAATTAATTAGAGACTGCCAGGACAGTAAAGGATGCTTTGAAAGTGTGTCAGGGTGGCTTGATCTGGCCTGGCAAGGGAGTGAAGGAAATAAAAAAATTTTACCCCAAAATACATTTCTTTGACATATTTTGAAGTGGCTGCTACAGGGCCAGCCAAGTGTCTTGCAAAGCTGTCTTTTGTGAGGAAAATTTGCATCTGTAGAGAATCTCCATTGATGCAGCCAGGCCTTCCCTTTCTAGGCCTTTTCCAGAACTAGGAGAGATCAGCTGAGAGACTGACACCTTTAAAAGTCTGAAAAGAAACATACATCATCTGTTCTCTCTGCAGGCTGCTACCTGTGAGGTTTCATCTACATAAGGAGGACCCCTTTGCTAGCCAAGCCTCTTCCCCTCTCCCTCTCGTAACCTATCCTGCCACTAAAACCTGATTTACCAACGTAACCTGTTTTGGGCCGAGCTCTGAGCCTTCATTCTTTCTATAACCTCAAGATGGTACATTAGCTTCTGTACCTCACTGGGGGGGTTGGGTCCTCATTCTGAAGGCTACCTTATATACACGTGAAGTAAATTTGTATGCCTTTTCTCCTACTAATCAATTCTACCTCATGTCAGCGATTTCTCAGCAAACCTTGAGAGGACATAGGGCCTTGACCCCTATAGGGGAGTGGAGACGAAAATGCAATGCAATGAATTTCAGACGCAATGCTGTTATGTACCTAGCTTAATCCAGCTATTTTCAACCCTGAGTGCACATAGAATCTCCTGGAGAACATTAAAAATACCCATGCTTGGGCTACAGCCCCAGATACTCTGATGGAATTGGTCTGGTTATCAATATTTTCTCCAAAGCTCTTTAGGTGAGTCTAAAATGCAGCTAGGATTAAGAGTTTACTGGTTTAAATCCGCATGTTGGTGATTTCAGTGTCCTATACTTTCTTCTCCTCCTCCTCCTCCTTCTTCTTTTTCCTTTTTTTTTTTTTTTTTTGTTTTTCGTTTTTTGAGACAGAATCTTGCTCTGTCTCCCAGGCTGGAGTGCAGTGGCATGATCTCAGCTCACTGTAACCTATGCCTCCCAGGTTCAAGAGATTCTCC
Source organism: Homo sapiens (assembly GCF_000001405.40). Classification (NCBI taxonomy): domain Eukaryota; kingdom Metazoa; phylum Chordata; class Mammalia; order Primates; family Hominidae; genus Homo; species Homo sapiens. The sequence goes on along the minus strand of NC_000012.12, from coordinate 69,167,096 downwards.
TGCCTCAGCCTCCCAAGTAGTAGGGATTACAGACATGCGCCACAACGCCCGGCTAATTTTTGTGTTTTTGGTAGAGACAGGGTTTCGCCATGTTGGCCAAGCTGGTCTCAAACTCCTGGCCTCAAGCAATCCTCCCACCTCAGCCTCCCAAAGTGCTGGGATTACAGGCGTGAGCCACTGCACCCGGCCTATACTTTCTTCTGATGTTCAAATGCAGATCAACTATAATGGAATATATCTAACTGAAAATTTGAAATAACATTGGAAACAATACTTTCTTGTCATTCCTTACTCATTTGAAGTGTCAAAAGACAAAATTACTTTAAAGATCTAATCAGCATTTATTTGCTCTTCTAGAATTGGGCAACATCTCATTGTATAAAATAGAGTAAGTGTTCTGCTGAGCTTAGCAGAGGGCATTGGCTTTCTAGGCAGACAAGAGCTGAAGAAAACAGAAACAAAGGACAAGAAGCAGATTGGTCATTTCAAGATTATCTTCCTTATAGAGTCAAAACAGAGGGAACTTTCTTATCATGCCCTTTGGTAACCTGGGCCCCTTCTGATTGGTTGCTGTGAATCTCTGTTTTATTTTATTTTATTATTTTTTCTTTTTGAAAACTGGCCCATTTCAAAATTCAGTTTGATTATGACACATTTAGCACAACTGACTTCATGCTGGTTTGGTCTGGTCTGCTGGGCCCTAGTGCAGGAACTTAGTCCAAAACAATGGGCTCTCATGAATTTATTCGATAGGGTAACTGTCAATGAATACCTTGCAAGATATATTTTTGTTATGTTTAAATTTTTTTTCTTTTTAAAAAAAGCATATGATTAAATATTTGAAGAAGTAGGAGGGGGTAAGAAAGAAGAAGAAAAGCGGGGACATACCTGTAAACTCACTATCCTGCTGCAAGCACTGAGAATTGCAGTGTATCCTCTTCCCCTTCTCACCCCCGTGCATCTGGGTAGACAATAAATTACTTGGTGATTTAACACCTACCAACAGTTTCAATATAAATTATATATTACATAATATATGTAACAAATTATATATTTTGGGCTGAGAAAAATTCTTGAATCCTGTGACCCCCTCTTTTGCCAACTCAACACAAGCAAGCTCCCATCCTGACCTCTGCTCTTCTCAGTAAAGCATTGCTCTCAGGCTTGGAAGAATAAAACTGGTCTAGCCAAGGTCATGGTGTCCTCCTAGTTGCCAAACTCATAGACTTTCTTGCCCCCTATTTAATTGCTTTCTGCAGCATTGAACACAGTTGAACATTCTACCTCCTTGAAACTCTTACCCCTTGACTTCTGGAACACCACTTCCTCCTCTCACCCCCATTTTTCTTTCTATTTCTCTGTAAACCTAAGTTCCCTCTGCAGTCCCTCTTTCTGCTCCTAGATGTTAGGGTTCCAGAGGATCCCATCTCTGGCTGTTTCCTTTCTCACTTTACCTACCTTTCCACAGAGATTTTCTTCAAGCCCAAAGTCTCAATTACTATTGTCACCCAAAAGACAACCCAGATGGCTACATAGTAGAAAGGAGAGCTGTATTGGCCATATCAGTTTGCCAACTGGGACGAGAAAGTCTCCAGTGTGGACCTAAGGGGGCTCTCTTTTTGAGGAGGGGAAGGGCAGGTTGGGTTTTACACCTTACAGGGCCTGAAGTCGTACATATCCAGCAGGTTTGGGAGAAAAGCTATGCGTATTTGTGAGCAATGCATGAGCAATGGGTAAACATATATATATATAAAACATACATCCCATGATTACTTTTGGGTGGAATTTTAGCATTAAAATGTGATGGAATTTGGCTCTTTTGTCAAAAGTTCAACTATAGGACACAAAATAGACGGTGCAGCCTCTATAAGATGGCTGAAGCTGCCTTAAGGGTCGCAGTTGCTTATCAGGAAAGAATCTCTGTAAGGCCAATCCTCTGTCCATCAGAGTTGCAGTGGTCTGGGTTGTAAATCAGAGTTAGAAGGGGTCTAATAATTGGCCTGATAGCTCCCATTATTAGAGAGTTTAACAAGAGTTTGGTTGTTCTTGGAGCTGTAGGAATTGAGAAATTTGCCATGCCAGCCTGGCCCTGATCCCTCAACCTATAGGTAACTTTTGTTTCCCTAATCTTAGGGTCTACTTAGTTGATAAGGGGCCATTTCAGATCACACTATTGTATCCTGATAAATCCTTGGGGGAAGACTGAAAGGTCAGATAAGCCAACGGTGTAGCAAGAAATGAAATTTGGGAGTCTGTTACTACAGTGTGGCAAGAGTTTCTTTATATAGAGACAAGCTGGATATTTGAACGTTCCCCCTCTCTTTACCACCTGCAACCCAAACCCTGCCTAAAACAGAAGAAAATATAGTGGACTGAGCTGGGCACAGTGGCTCATATCTGTAATCCCAACACTTTGGGAGGCTGAGGGAGGAGGATTGCTTCAGGCCAGGAGTTTGAGACCAGCCTGGGCAACATAGCAAGACTCCAACTCTTCAAAAAATAAACTAGTCAGGCATGGTAGTGCATGCTTATAGTCTTGGCTACTCAGGAGAGCCAGGGAGGCTACAGTGAGCTGTGATTTCTACCTGCATTTCAGCCTGGGCAACAGAGCAAGACCATATCTCAAAAACAAAACAAAATAAAAAAAGAGAGTGGACTGAGCCTACCATTCTGTAGGTGAGGACCTACAGATTCCTCACACCTGTGGACTGTTGCGACCACAGAACTTGGGGCTAAGGAGCCATGTCAATTCACACCTCCACATACTTTCTGTTGGTGTACATCTTTTGCAGGATAAACAGTAGCCTATCCTGAGTCCCAGTCCTCATTCTCACCAATCCTTGAAACCAGAAAGGCTGCTGTTTCTGGCTTAGTTCACTCCCACATCTATAGCTCTAGTCCAAGCCTCTTATCTTAATGCTTCACATATCTGTCTACTAACCTTTTCCACCCTACTGGGTCACAAACCACAAATAGAATCTCCATCTTCTTGCACAAGCCTTCTCAGAATAGACATCCTAATGCAATGGTTGACAGTGTCAAGCCACTATTCCACCCGCTCACTTATGCTGGAAATTTGAAGATCAAAAAACTTTTCTCTTCACCCCTCTGTTGTGGTCTGAATGTCTGTGTTCCTCCAAAATGTGTACGTTGAAATTTATTAGGTTGGTGCAAAAATAATCATGGTTTTTGCCATTGAAAGTAATGGCAGAACCGCAATTACTTTTGCACCAACCTAATCATCCCTGCTGTGTTGCTATTAAGAGGTGGGACCTTTGGGAGGTGACTATATCATAAGGGTGAAGCCCTTGTGAATAGGATTACTGTCTTTGTAAAGCGACCTGAGGGAGCTTGTTGGCCCCTTTTGCCCTTCTCTTCTGCCATGTGACAATACATAGACAGTGCCATCTATAAGGAACAGGCCCAGTTGGGCGCGGTGGCTCACGCCTGTAATCCCAGCACTTTGGGAGGCCAAGGCAGGTGGATCATTTGAGGTCAGGAGTTTGAGAGCACCCTGGCCAACATGGTGAAAACCCTGTCTCTATTAAAAATACAAAAATTAGATAGGTGTGGTGGTACACACCTGTAATCCCAGCTACTCAGGAGGCTGAGGCAGGAGAATTGCTTGAACCTGTGAGGAGGAGGTTGCAGTGAGCTGAGATCGTGCCACTGCACTCCAGCCTGGGTAACAGAGCAAGACTCTGTCTCAAAAAAAAAAAAAAAAGGACAGGCCCTTACCAGACACTGAATCTGCCACCGCCTTGATCTTTAACTTCTCATTCTCCAGAACTGTCAGGAATAAATGTTTGTTGTTTATAAATTACCCAGTCTAAATTTTTTTGTGATAGCAGTAGGAACAGACTAAGACGTCCTTGTATTCAGTTATAGATGGATTCCACCAGATAACCAGTTTTCCAATCTGCTCCCCTCCCCTCTATTGCCCACCGTTGTTGGCTTGATCCAGGCCCCCAGGATCTGTTAAGGTTTCAGATCAAGGCTAGGACAAAGTGTGGAGCTTGTAGCCTTGATTTGAGTATAGAAATATAACCAGAAAATGAGATAATGTATTCTATTAGTGAAAAAAATTAACCTAGTTATAAAGATTATAGTATTGTTTCTGAAAATGGAAAGGGTTATGTAAAGAAAGTCTCCATTTATTTGTATTAATTGAGCTACTACAGATTTATTTTTTTTAATTAAGATTATATTTCTTTTCTCAAGTAAAACAAATTTAGAGAATTTATTGTTGGCTCACTTTCTTTTTAATAACTAGGCCTTTCACTTCCCACAACTTAAACTACATCAATTGTACATTTTCCTACAACTTTTTTATTTGGTTAGTCTTCTTTTTTGTTTTTTTTTTGAGGTGGAGTCTCGCTGTGTCACCCAGCCTGGAGTGCAGTGGTGCGACCTCTGCTCACTGCAACCTCCACCTGCTGGGTTCAAGCAATTCTCCTGCTTCAGCCTCCTGAGTAGCGGGGACTACAGGTGCATGTCACCAAGCCTGACTAATTTTTGTATTTTCTTAGTAGAGACGGGGTTTCACCATGTTGGCCAGGCTGGTCTCGAATTTTTGATCTCTAGTGATCTGCCCACCTCAGCCTCCCAAAGTGCTGGGATTACAGGCTTGAGCCTATTTGTTTATAGGTGCCCAGCCTATTTGTTTAGTCTTCTAAAGGACCAAGGAAGCCAGTTCAGTGAGCTTACATCCTGAAACACAAATATGACCGAAAGTATGTGGCAAGTGCATTTTGGGGACCAGGAATATAAACAGTGTGTTCTTACAATATGCAAAACCAGCACCAATACTTAAAGCCATGTTTGGTAGATTGAAAAGCCCTCCTAAATACCCTACTTTTTCTATATTTTCTCATATTCCTAAATATAAATGATCATTAACAAATGATTATGATGAACACTAATACCATAACTTAATTTCCTGCCAGCTGAGGCCTGGCAGAGTTGAAGCATGCTAAACCTCAAGAGCATGCAATTTCAGAATTGAACAATTAAGCTCAGAGAAGATGAGAGTCGAGGTTACCATGGTAACCTGATCCCACAACCCTGTGTGCAGCCACATTGTTTCAGTGTTTGAGTCACGTGAAGCTGGTTATGATGATTTATACTCCAGGCAATATTTAGGTACAGATATGGGAGTTTCCCTTGTACCATTTTCAGAAAAGACAGATACTTTGAAATCTGCAGAAGAGGGTTGTGTGATTTTTCAGTGAAGTGATATGCATTAATGAAAAGCACAGTAGCTAATCACAGTGCATAGGTTTACACTATGCCATAAAAGTACTAAAATTATGGGCTCTGAAAAAATAATTGCATTGAAATTTAATCATTAAGCATAAGCATATAACTTGTTTTTATTCATTCAGTACTACTGATTAAACCCTACTATGCACTAGACCTTGTTTAGGTGCTGGGGTTCAGTGAACAAAATACGGGACACAAACAATATACAGTAAATAAATAATTTATGATATCTAGTGTGTTTGAATGTGATCAGGACTGTGAGGACAAGGTAAAGCAGGGAAGGGGGATTGAAAATGCTGGGGATAGGAGGGGTGTGGCATGGCAATTTTAAGTTAGGTTGTCAGAGAAGGCTGTATGGAGAGGATAATATGTGAACAGACTCAAAAAGCATGACGGGCTGAGCCACACAGACATTTGGGGAAGAACATTTCGATAGCGGGAACGCCTGTGCAAAGGCCCTGAGGCACAGGCATGCTTGTCATATTCCAGGAGCAATAAGAGAACTGGAGTGGGGTGCATGAAGGAGAAGATAGTAAAAGGTAAGATCGCTCTGATAACCAAGGGCAAGGTCACAGAGGGCCTTGTAGGCTACTGAAAGTATTTTGGCCTTTATTTGAGAGAAGTAGGCAGTCACTAAGAGATTCTGAGCAGAGGATTGACACAATCAGCTAAGAGGCAATAGCAATAACTCAGGGGAGAAACTACAGTGACCAGAAGGTTAGTGATGAAATTGGTCTGATTCTGGGTATATTCTGAAAGTGGTTACAGTAGTATTTCCTGATGGATTATGTGTGGAGCGCCACAGGAAGAGGGGAGTCAAAGGTGACCACAACATTTTGGGCCTAAGCAACTGAAATGATGAGATTGCCATCATTTAAGATGGGGAAGACTGTAGATAGAGTGGGTTTGGTGGTAGAGGTGGTGTGGGATGGAAGCGCAGACTGAAGTTTGAATTATTTATTAGACATACAAGTAGAGAAAGAGAAGACGTTGGATATACAAGCCCTGAGTTTAGGGCAGAGGTCTGGGCTGGAGATATAAAGTTGGCAGTTGTAGGACAAATAGATGGTATATTTCAAGCTACAAGGCTAGGCAAGATGACCAAGGGACTGAGAAGAGGCCAGGCTGAGCTCTGGGGCACTGTAACATTAAGATGTTGAGAAGAAAAGATGGGACCAGCCAAAAAGATCAAGGAGGAACCAGAGAGATAAAAGCAAAACCAAGAGAGTGTGAGGTCCTAGAAACCAACTGAATGAAGGAAGCATTCCAGGAGGAATGATCAAAGGGGGCCAAAGGCTGTTACAAGGTAACTTGCCCATTGATTTAAGCCACGTGGGGTCATTGGTTCTCTTGACTCATCAGAGTGACTGCATCACGGTTCAACTTTCCTCTCTGCCCACTCCTATTTCTTCATTCCCCTATTCTGTTGATTCTGAGGGCAAACCCTAATAAATCCCCCTGCACACACATCTCCCTCTCTTAGTCAGTATCCAGGAACCCATCTAAGGTATTATGCTTGATTTTTTTTTTTTTTTGAGACAGAGTTTTGCTTTTGTTGCCCAGGCTGGAGTGCAATGGTGCCAACTTGGCTCACTGCAATCTCCGCCTCCCAGATTCAAACGATTCTCCTGCCTCAGCCTCCCAAGTAGCTGGAATTACAGGCATGTGCCACCACGCCCGGCTAATTTTGTTTTTTGTTTTTTGTTTTGTATTTTTAGTAGAGACAGGGTTTCTCCATGTTGGTCAGGCTGGTCTCAAACTCCTGACCTCAGGTGATCAGCCTGCCTTGGCCACGCAAAGTGCTGGAATTACAGGTGTGAGCCACCACGTCTGGACTTTTTTTTTTTTTTTTGATATGAAGTCTTGCTCTGTCACCCAGGCTGGAGTATAGTGGCGTGATCTCAGCTCACTGCAACCTTTGTCTCCCGGGTTCAGGCAATTCTCCTGCCTCAGCCTCCTGAGTAGCTGGGATTACAGGCACTCACCACCACTCCTGGCTAATTTTTGTATTTTTAGTAGAGATGGGATTTTACCATGTTGGCCAGGCTGGTCTCAAACTTCTGACCTTGTGATCCACCTGCCTCGGCCTCCAAAAGTGGTGGGATTACAGGTGTGAGCCACTGCGCCCAGCCTATGCTTGATATTTTGCATGTAACTTATATTTTAATTTTCATAGCAACCTCACGATGCTGACATTATTAACTACTTTAGAGTAGAGGATACAGAAAAAGGGCAAAGCTGGATAACTTTCCAAAGGTTACAGAGCTAAGAAAGTGGCAGAGGCAAGATTTGACTCAATCTGCTTGATGCCACAGCTATGCTTTTCTCAAGGCAATACCCGAACCTAGTGGCGGATTTAATTGTTCCAGTGCCAGCCAGAGCCTGGGGCAATCTGGTGGAAACCAGGGGACTGGGATGCCAGGAGAATGTTAAGAATTGCTGAGCTGGGCCAGGTGTGATGGCTCACGCCTGTAATCCTAACACTTTGGGAGACTGAGGTGGGTGGATCATCTGAGGTTAGGAGTTCGAGACCAGCCTGACCAACATGGTGAAACCCTGTCTCTACCAAAATACAAAAATTAGCCAGGCGTGGTGACAGGTGCCTGTAATCCCAGCTACTCAGGAGGCTGAGGCAGGAGAATTGCTTGAACCCAGGAGGCGGAGGTTGCAGTGAGCCAAGGTCACACCATTGCACTCTAGCCTGGGCAACAAGAGCGAAACTCCATCTCAAAACAAACAAAAAAACCCAAAACAAAAAACAACAATAACAACAAAAGAATTGCTGAGCTGGCCCAGGTGAGGTGGCTCACATTTGTAATCCCAGAACTTTGGGAGGCTGAGGCAGGATTGCTTGAGCCCAAGAGTTCAAGACCAGTCTGGGCAACATGGCAAGACCCCATCGCTACAGGAAAAAAAAAAATGCTGAATTGTAAGGGAGAAATGAAAGCAATAGTGAGGGAAAGTGGAAGGCTGGAGACATTGACTCCTCCACCAAAGTGGGGAAGCCAAGACAGAGACTCAGGGCGGGTGGGGTGGGGGGCGGGGGGGGAGGGCGGCGGGGTGGGGGCGGCGGGAAATGTCAGAAATAAGGGAGGGAAGGAAGATTGAGTTGAGGGAGCTAACAAAAGAGTCTTAATCTACAACCCAGAATTATTACTGTATGAGTCGTGGAGTATGTTACTTGGATAGACACACCTTTCAAGGAGCTAAATTAAGTGTAACATTGGCAGCATCTTATAATGTTTGTATTTTTGTCACTTAACAAAATCTTCTCTTGTGTTTAGATTTTTCACCAATTCAGAGATACCCACATAAAATTTAAAAGAGGGTTAACTTATTTATTCTTTAAATGGTAATTCTGTATTTCAAAAATATTTCCTTATCATCTGAAAAATCATTCTGTGACTGGGAGGTGTAGGTTTCCAAGTACATTTATATTTTTATTTCTTCTTGCCTTCCTGCTCGTTCATCCTTCCATTAAGCTTTTAAGAAACACTTATTAGATTACAATGTGGGCAAACAAAAATCAATAAAACACAATTCCTGTTGAGGCATTAACAGTCTGGTGAGAGAAGTAGACATTTAAACAACAGAAACAAAGACAGAAAGGTCTATACAGCAAGCTGTAAGAGCCGAGTGGAAGGAGCCACTAACTCTGTGGGAATGAGAGTCATAGAGGGCTCAAGAGAAATGTCCCCAAGATTAGAAATAAGGTTACACTGACAGCAAAACCAGTAGGAGTTAATTCACAGTGGATAAGACCAGACATCAGGAAAAAATATCCAATATGTTGTCTATAAATATGTGTAACTGCGGGCGAGGTGCAGTGGTTTACGCCTGTAATTTCAGCACTTTGGGAGGCCAAGGCGGGCAGATCACCTGAGGTCAGGAGTTCCAGATCAGCCTGACCAACAAGGCGAAACCCCGTCACTACTAAAAATACAAAACTTAGCTGGCCCCAGTGGCTCACGCCTGTAATCCCAGCACTTTGGGAGGCCAGGGCAGGCGATCACTTGAGGTCAGGAGTTCAAGACCAGCTGGCCAACATGGTGAAACCCCCATCTCTACTAAAAATACAAAAAATTAGCCAGGCATGGTGGCAGGCGCCTATAATCCCAGCTACTCGGGAGACTGAGGCAGGAGAATCGCTTGAACCTAGGAGGCAGAGGTTGCAGTGAGCTGAGATGGAGCCACTGCACTCCAGCCTGGGCGACTGAGTGAGACTCCGTCTCAAAACAAAACAAAACAAAACAAACAAAGAAAAAAAGAATAAATAAATAAATAAATGAAGTTTAACTGCTGAAGCCCTTCAATGGCTCTCTAGTTCCTGGGAAGAAGTTCAAACTTCTTGCCATGACCTTCCATTATTCTTGCTTACTTTTCCAATTTTGTCTCACATTCCCGGTGACTGATAAGCACGTCAGAGTTTGAGAATCACATGGGGTAATAAATGAGAGACCTTAGTAGAGAGCCTGGCCCTTCTACCAGTTCCAGTCTTTTGGCTTCAGACAATTTTCTACCTCGGCTTTGTGATGCTGAGGCTCGGACTCCGGAAGCCGCGTTTCTGCTCAGCCTGCTGGCTCGCTGCTAGGCTCTGCCTCCAGGGGGCACTCGAGGGAGGCTGCAAGGCTGGAGGAGGGAAGGGACTTCCTCCTCCCCGTAGGCTTCTGTTTCAGAGAGCATCAGACCACAAAGCTGTTTCTGCCTGCAACCTGCAGGTCCTTTTTCTGGTAGCCATGGAATCCAGTTTTTCCAACATCTGCAGAACCAGCTTTCTGGTGCCCGCCTTAGAGACCCCAGCACCAGCCAAGCAGGCTGAGACCCCAGAAGGGGTCTGAGGGGTTAAATGTCACCTCTTCTACTTTTCTAAGTTTTAATAATTTCAGTCCCTTCTCTTCCTTCCCCTAGCCCTAGGGGTGGTAGCTGCTTCCTACCCTTGTTTCTTTTGTGATACCTACCTTAGGGCAGTGATTCCTGACCAGTGGCAAGTTTGCTTCCCAGGGGACGTTTGGCAAAAGCTGGAGTTGTTTTTTTTTTTTTTTTTTTTTTTTTTTGAGATGTAGTTTCGCTCTGTCGCCCAGGCTGGAGTGCAGTGATGTGATCTAGGCTCACTGCAGTCTCTGCCTCCCAGGTTCAAGCGATTCCCTGGGCTTCAGCCTCCCGAGTGGCTCAGATTACAGGCGCTCGCCACCATGCCCAGTGAATTTTTGTATTTTTAGTAGAGACAGGGTTTCATCACGTTAACCATGCTGGTCTTGAACTCCTGATCTCAGGTGATCCTCCCACCTCGGCCTCCCAAAAAGCTGGGATTACAGGCGGGAACAACCGCGCCTGGCCAGGAGAGATTTTTGGTTGTCACAATTTGGTGGAGGTGAGGGGTATACTACTGGCACCTACTGGGTGGAGGCCAGGGATACTGCTAAACATCCTACATTGCACAGGACAGCACCCACAACAGTTATTCAGCTCAAGACACCAATAGTGTCAAGGTTGAGAAACCCTGTTTTAGAGTCTTTTTTACAGTTTCTGTTAAACATTTTATACACAGTTAAATTTTACACAGTTAACAAGTCTTTATATTAGATTTTCTCTGATCAAATAACTGTTGTGATTTTGACTAAACGCTGATTGATTCAGCAGTTTTTTGTTTTCGTTTTTTGAGACAGGGCCTTGCTATGTCACACAAGCTGGAGTGCAGAGGCGTCACCACTGCCCACTGCAGCCTTGATCTCCCAAGCCCAAGCCCAAGCCCAAGCCATCCTCCCGCCTCAGCCTCTGGAGTAGCTGGGACTACAGGCACAAGGCACCACAGCCAGCTAATTTTTTTTGATTTTCAGGTGAAACTAGGTCTCACTGTGTTGCCCAGGCTGGTCTTGAACTTTGGGGCTCAAGCGATCCTCCTGCCTTGGCCTCCCAAAGTGCTGGGATTATAGGCGTGAGCCACCATGCCCAGCCTGACTCAGCTTTCAGGCTGAAGACATCTATGGTTGAAACTAAAAAATATGATGAACTTTAAATGAGTTAAATCTTCATGTATCATGATAGTAATTAAATAGTGTTTCAAATGTCTACAACTGATGAATCAAGAGGTAGTGGTGAGACTTTTGGGGTGGGTCCTGGAAGGAATGGAACAAAGGATTATTGCCTTTTGTTGTAAGCTATTTTGCAAAATCCATGCTCATGTATTATTTTGATTAAAATATTTTAAGAAAAAATCGTGCTATATATGTACTAATCTATAAATACTACACAACTGAAGCCTCAAGCTGGTGGTTGACAGATATGTTTTGTTTGGCCTTCATTGTATTTTTTTGAGGGGGGTGCTAATATTGCAAAAATATAACATTTTACATAAAAGTCCTTTTTTTTTCTTACAAAGAGATTTGGCAATAAAGAACTCTTATTTGCATATGGCAACAAGCGGCTATGCTTGAGTGTCAGCCCACTTTAGACAAGGTATGTGCTTTCCATTTTGTCACAGTCCCCACCACTCCCTGCTATATTCCTCAGTATTCTTGCCCAGGGCTTGCTTTCTTCATTTAGGCTACTGGCTTGCCCTTCTAGGCACTGGAGTTTGCAATGAAGTGGAATTTTCCACTTCAAGTGGAAAAGTGCATAGTGACTAAAAACGAGAGTTGTACAAATAGGAAAAACCAAAAATGTGCCAAGAGACTCACAAAGTGATAACCTGATGGGCTTCCCATGGTCCAGGGTCTGACCTTGCAGGTGACAGTATGTGATTTTATTCAGTTGATTGTAGTTAGGGATGTTGACTTACACTATTGAAGTTCCACAGAGATTGAAATTTAAGTAAGAATGACAGTTTATTAATTTACAAAGGAAATGTAAAAACAAAAGAGACTAGATACTTGAGCCTCCTTGCCAGTAGATTCTCTCCTTCATGATAACTTCCAATTTTTGCTCATTTTATAAGATAATAAGGAAAAAAGGCAATAAAATATGTAAATAATTTCAGTAATCGGTAAAAAAGGGCATTGATAAACTATTGGATGGCAGGCAGCGCCACCTTGTGGTAGCTTCAAGTGTCCCCTGGAAACCTGAGGGAAGGAAGGTCACATGCAGCCTATGAAATGGTGGCTTGAGTTGTCTTTGTGATATGTCAAAGTGTAGTTTGTGTAACGCACGCGGGAAAATCGAGGACTACTTCTACTTTTTGTTTTGTGTCAACATTTTTTTTTTTAGCTCTGTTAATGCCCTCACTCAGGTCAAGTCTTGCTGGCCTCAAAACCATTTTTTCTCTCTGAGACGACTGCATATCTCTGAGCAGTTAATGTAATATGTTTGTATCTCAGAAAGGAAATGTATTTCCAAGTGCTTGGGGGACAATTTACCAACTCTCCTGTGTACAGCCCACGTGGCTTCCTACTATGCTGAGTCCAGGAAGTGGGTGCTAGGCCAGCACTCCTGTGTTGCTGTTGGAGGCCATACCCTGCCAACTCCCCTTCTTCCTGGGTCTCTTGAATAATTCTTGTGGTTTTGTGCTGCCATCTCTCACCTTCAAGGGCTACCTGAGGCCTGCTTCTCTCTGAGGGACATTTCCATCTCTTGTCTCCTTTGCTTCATTTTGGGCAGTTGAATTCCCTGTATCATCCGCATCGTGATTTTTCAAAAGATGCCCAGCTACCTGTGCTGCTGCCTCCAATTTCTTTTCTGCCAGTGGCTCCTTAACGTAGCCAAGAAAGCATGTGTCCCTGCTATTTCACCAAATTTACTTTTATCAAGATCACCAGTGACCCCCATGTTGCTAAATCAAATGGTCAATTTTTATCTCCAATTTGACCTATCAGCAGCATTTGACGCAGTTACCACTCCTCTTCCTTGAGACTTTACACTTGACTTTCAGGATACCACAATGTCTTCATTTTCCTTTTATCTTACTGGAGGTTTCTTATTGGCCTCCTTTGGTTCTTCCTCTTATCCCCAATCTCTTAAAGTTGGAGTGTTTCAGAGATTGGACCTTGGTCTTCTCTTTTGACCACATGTCCTTGGTGATCTCATTCAGTACTGTGCCTTTAATAGCATTAACAATTTGCTTGGCCTAGAGCGGTGGCTCACGCCTGTAATCCCAGCACTTTGGGAGGCCGAGGGGGCAGATCACCTGACGTTGGGAGTTCGAGATCAGCCTGACTAACATGGAGAAACCCCATCTCTACTAAAAATACAAAATTAGCCAGGCATGGTGGCACATGCCTGTAATCCCAGCTACTCAGGAGACTGAAGCTGTGCATGTCTATGTGCTCTGCACTTGAGGTGTCCGTTTCTGTTCAGATCTGGTGTGGCAGGTCTCAAACTGGACTGAAACTCTTTGCTGCATTTGGCCTTTGATCATCTGCCCTAAGAAGGGAGCCCACCTCTGACCTGCTCCTAGTGTCCCTGCTGTCTCCTTTCCAGGCTCCCGCTCCCGACTTTTCCAGGCATGTGGTGGGGCCAGTGTCTCAAGGAAGGCCCCAAACCCTTGCTGGGGCAAACTCCGTCCTACTCCAGAAACAAAAATCAATTGGCCTTCACGCCAGTCGGACACAATATTCCTGTTTAGATGCAGACTCACCTCACACAGCGTGGTGCTGCCATGAATTTTCCTATCACAGTAAAACAGGACGCCTGCTCAGTGAGGAGGGTGAGTGCACTGTTCTTCATGAGTCACAAGGAGAAATGCACTTAATCATTCTCTCTCTCTCTCTTTTTTTTTTTTTTTTGAGACAGAGTCTCACTCTGTAGCTCAGGCTGGAATGCAGAGGTGCAATCTCTCTCACTGCAACCTCTGCCTCCTGGGTTCAAGGGATTCTCCCACTTCAGGCTCCTGAGTAGCTGGGATTACAGGTGCGCACCGCCAGTCCTGGCTAATTTTTGTATTTTTAGTAGAGACAGAGTTTCGCCATATTGTCCAGGCTGGTCTAGAACTCCTGGGCTCAAGTGATCTGCCCACCTCAGCCTCCCAAAGTGCTGGGATTACAGGCTTGAGCCACCACGCCCAGCTCAATCATTCTTTAGTTTGAGAATTTTGCTCCATTATTATATAAATAATGAACATGATTAATGAAGAATATGGAACATTTTGGGCATTGTAGAGGAATGTTAGGAAAAATTATACCGAGAGTTTTGACTCATTTAAATTCTACGTTAATTTAACACTTCTACCCACAGGTTTCTGCACACTTGTGCATGCTCTAATTATTTTCCATAAATGTATTCTGTAGTGTGGGACAGTCTCTGACAGAGTTTCTCCTATATTTGTCTCCTCTGGCTTGTATGTCGACACTTCCCACTTCAATTCTATGCCCCAGCAATTGATGTCATTTAAATAAGTGCCATTTAGTATCTCAAATATTCCATGTTTTTTCTCACTTCTGATACTTCTTATTATGCCTGAAATAGTGCCGTCACTCCTTTCCACCTCTAACCGTTAGTTGGGTAATTTCTACCAATCATCCACATTTCCATCCAGTGGTGTGGAAAGATTTTTAAACCTCATGTCCGGAGCAGGGGGCGGACTTTATGTGCTCTCATAGCCAGAGCTTCCCAGAGTGTGTCCACCAATGACTGCATTAAAACATCACTGGAAACCCAACTGCTTACATAACTGGATATGAAAATCTGCTCCAGGTCTACCAAAGCAAATAACACTCTTTTTTTGGAGATAACGGTGTCATTCTGTCACCCAGGCTGGAGGGCAGTGGCACCATCATAGCTCACTGCAACTTCAAACTCCTGGGCTTAAATAATCCTCCCACCTCAGCCTCCCAAGTAGCTGGGAACACAGGCACACACCACCATGCCCAGCTAATGTTTATGACTTGATTTGTAAAATTTTAAATTTTAAATAGAGATAAATTCTCCCTGTGTTGCCCAGGCTGGTCTTGAACTCTTGGCCTCAAGTGATCCTCCTCACTTGGCCTCCCAAAGTGCTTGGGATTATAGTGGTGAGCCACTGTGTCCAGCCTTGTAGTGTTTTATTTTTTAAGTGTTGTAATGGATGTACCAGTGTTTAATATATCAGTCTTTAAAAAAATAGTTTAAACATCTGTTTTTCCTCACCCCTCACTGAGTACATTGAAAATAGTACAAGTTAAAGCACATGTCTTGTTCTCATCATGTCCATGGCATTCTATACTTCCCCTCCCTTGGCGTTGACCACAATGGGCTATATCTTAATTGCTTGTGTTCTTGTCTGTTTCTCCCAGTGGACTGTGAACTCTTAAGGGCAGGGACTGTTTATTCTTCACTGTTGTATCCCTAGCCTCAAGCCTGATGCTAACACAGAATTTGTGTTCAATAAAAATTTATTGAATGGGCGGGTGGATGGAGGAATATAGGGTAGCCTGATGTCCTCAAAGCAGCCAGCTAACCAGTGCCTACATTCCAACCCGTAAGTTTCCACCACTGACTTACCCTCTTCAACCCGTTTCCTCTTAAAAAAAAAAAAAGTCTCAACGGGCTATTTAAGTGATATGTCCCACAGGGAACACACTCAAATGGCAAAGTCTCACCCGCAGCTGTAATTCCCTAAGTAAACAGCTCTCCTGGGAGGTTCGTAGTCTCAGGTAACTCTGCTGAGTGACTTTGGAGAGCAAGGTAGAAATATTCCCATTTATTCATTATCTACCATGTGCCTAGAACTATCCCAGGCACTTTTATATGTAATACTCTCATTTAATTCTCACAACAATCCTCTAAGGTAGGTATTACTCTCCCCATTTATGCAGATGAGAGAGACTCAGAGAAAGGATAGACCTTGATCAAGCTGCATGCAGAGGAGGAGGCCAGGCTCGGGTCTGTCCAACCCCACAGCCCAGGAACGTTCCTTCTACCATGTGTTCCATGCCAGTGCACAATGCTGTTAGAGATGTAGAATGTTTTGACCTGAAAGGACTCTCACAGGTTGTCCCATGCAATCTACTTCTTGTGATTGAAATAATTTTCCTTAAAAAAAGAAAAGAACTTTGGACTATGTCTCTTGCCAAATAGAATTCTGCAAATTGTGATTTTGCCAAGAGAAACAAAGAACATTCAATTATCCTTAAAGTCTGTCATTGATTGAGTAACTCTTAAAATTAGCCAGGAACATTTTTGGATGTACTGGATAAGTGGGGCATGCCCTGCCATTTTACGTACCTGCAACATGAATTCTGGCTTGGTTTCCTATGGCACAGGGATTACTTTCGTTCATCTCCAAGTGTGGCTCACCAGCCTGCTTTACCACCATGTCTGCTGCCAGGTCAACTCATTTACTTATTAATTGACATTTATTGCACACTTGTTATTTGCCAAGGCCAGGGCTGGGGATTTAATGTGAATTATCTCAGTTAATCCTAACCGTGACTCTATGAAGAAAGTAATATAATTAATTTTATTTTGTCTTTGGGAAAAAAGTAACTTGCTCACAGAGACCATAATTGGTGGACCTGGATTGGGATTCCAGATCAGTGTGAATCCAGAATGAGTGTCTTCACCATGACTTTATGAACCTGCCCCACAGGCAACATTGCAGTCACATGCTGTGACACAGACGCATTGCACACTGGGCAGTTCAAATTATTAGCATTTCCTGGCAGTTTGAATTGCAAGTGACAGGTTGACTTATTGTTGTTGTTTCAGTAAAAGAGCTATACTTTTGTTGCTGTTGTTGAGACAGAGTTTTGCTCTGTCAGCCAGGCTGGAGTGCAGTGGTGTGATCTCAGCTCACTGCAGCCTCAACCTCCTGGGATCAAACAATCCTCCCACCTCAGCCTCCCTAGTAGCTAGGACTACAGGTGTGTACCATCACACCCAGTTAATTTTTTTTTATGTTTTGTAGAGACAAGGTCTCACTATATTGCCTAGGCTGGTCTTGAACTCCTGAGCTCAAGCAATCATCCTGCCTTGGCCTCCCAAAGTGCTGGGATCACAGGTGTGAGCCACTGGGCCCAGTTAGAGTTACACTTTCTGGAACTATCAGGCACTGTTCCAGAATCACAAATCCCTTTCATAAGTAGAAGGGATTTCCTTTGTCTGGATTTTGAAAGAGAATTTCCTTAGAAAGACCTGCTTTGTTGAGAAAATGCAGACAATTATTACTGTTTTCAGCAAGGGGCCTCGGAAAAAGTGAACGCAAATCCTTTAAAGTTAGTGGCTGTTACGAGACAACTCTATAATGTAAAAAGAATGGACAAGACTGAAGCCATTTTGGGATAGTCTTAGTGAACAGGATTAATTTGGTGAGATTTACATCATGCCTAGAACTTTGCCATCACATAATGTTTATTTGTTTTTAAATTTATTTCTTAGGTAACATGAATATAAATAGACACTAGCAAACATCCTCAGGACTGAAACTAGAGAAGTAGTGCTGTAATGGAAACAGCTGTATGAGAAATTTCTTGAAGCTATGTTTACGATCACCTCCTTTTGGGAGATAAGGAAAAGAAAGCAGATGTCAGCCTGTGGAATATTTCACAGAGAATAGTTTATGATTATGTTACCTCGAGGAGAAGGAGAAGTAAAACTGATACTTTATGTTTAGTTTGGAATGAAAGATGTATTGGGCATACTTTGGCATTGGTGAGTGAGACCTGGCCACAGAGACTACAGAGCCAATATCAATTAGAGGAGGGGAATTAGAATCCAGTCCTGCTCTCTGGGCAGGAGTGTGTGTTGTGAGCCCAGAAAATCTGGAACATGTCTCAATTAATTTAGAAAGTTTATTTTGCCAAGGTTGAGAATGAGCCCATGACACAGCTTCAGGAGGTCCTGATGACATGTGGCCAAGGTGGTCAGGGCACAGCTTGGTTTTATACATTTTAGGGAGACATGAGACATCAATCAATATATGTAAGAAGCACATTGGTTCGGTCTGGAAAGGTGGGATGATTTGAAGCAAAAGCGGGATGATTGGAAGCAGGGGAGGGAGCTTCCAGGTCACAGATAGGTGATATACAAGCAGTTATATTCTTTGTAACCGAGTTTCTAATTCGCCTTTCCAAAGGGGGCAAATCAGATGTGCATCTATCTCAGTGAGCAGAGGAGTGACTTTGAATAGAATGGGAGGCAGGTTTGCCCTAAGTAGCTTCCAGTTTGAGTTTTCCATAGCGATGTTGGGGGCCCAAGATATTTTCCTTTCGCAGTGTGTTGATGTCTTGGGCCCTAAATGAGGACTGTCCCCAGTTGGAGGTGGCTTTGCTTTTTTTTTTTTTTTACAGTGAGATCTACCAAGTTCTGACTTGACCCTTTAGTTGACCCTTTATTACTTCTCTCATAGAAAAAGCAATCATTAACAAGGGCTCAGTATCAGACCATGCATGGCCAAAGAGGGTCACTAATGGCACATCCATCCGGAGGAAAAATACCCAGTGTATTCATTTGTTTTCACACTGCTATAAAGATATTACTTGAGACTGGGTAATTTATAAACAAAGAAGGTTTAATTGACTCACAATTCCACATGACTGGGGAGGCCTCAGGAAACTTGCAATCATGGCAGAAGGGGAAGCAAGCACCTTCTTCACAAGGCAGCAGGAGAGAGTGCCAGCATGTGAAGGAGGAACTGTCAAACACTCATAAAACCATCAGACCTTGTGAGAACTCACTCACTATCATGAGAACAGCATGGGGGAAAACTGTCCCCGTGATCCAGTCTGCTCCCACCTGGTCCTTCCTTCCACATGAGGGAATTATGGGATTATAATTCATGATAAGATTTGGGTGGGGACATAGCCAAACCGTATCACCCAGCCTGTGAGGGTATGCTCCTTGCAGCCAAGGGTCATGCAGTGTGTTGGGGGACAGGTCATGGTACCAAATACTTCCTAATACACCTCTCTTAGCCTGTGACTTTTTTTCCTTTTGAACAGTCTTTTGTACAAGGCTTGTCTAGATCTTACTATATGGGTGAGCTGAGAAGAATTTTTATTTTTATTTTTTGCTCTGTCACCAGGCTAGAGTGCAGTGGCACAATCTTGGCTCACTGCAACCTCTGACTCCCTGGTTCAAGTGATTCTCCTGCCTCAGCCTCCCGAGTAGTTGGGATTACAGACATGTGCCACCACGCCCAGCTAATTTTTGTATTTTTAGTAGAGACGGGGTTTCACCATGTTGGCCAGGATGGTCTCGACTTCCTGACCTCATGATCTGCCTGCCTCAGCCTCCCAAAGTGCTGGGATTATAGGCGTAAGCCACCGCGCCTGGCCGAGGAATTTTTTTAAATATTTACTTCTTTCTACAAAACCATCTGCAGCAAATTCGCAGATGACACCTGCAATACAGCACTAGAGAGATCGGGAGAATGAGAGCTTTCTGCTTCTGCCACCAAGCAGCTGTGTGACCTTAAGCAAGTTACTTAAACTTGGCTTTAGTTGTGTTATTAGTAGAAAGAGTGGGTTGTAAAAGGATGATTTCTAAAGGCTCTAGCAACGCTAAAATCTACAAGTCTAACTTTCCTCCTATAAAATTTATATGAGGTTTCTTTTGTGTCTGTTCATATGTCATATGTCAAGGGCCACAAATGAAATTTGGCAAGGATGGTAATTCAGTTGTGGTGGAGAAGATGGGTCTACAATGAGTGGTTTCTGTTATTTATTTATTTATTTTTGAGACGGAGTTTTGCTCTTGTTGTCTAAAAATAAAAATCCTGGATCAGGTCTATTTTCTGAGCTATCATGATCTGGGTCTTTAATTGTGCCTTTTCCTTCTGCTGTATCTGGCATAACATTTACAAGGAATGTCTAATGTTAATATAGTAGCAAATATCATAAAGATAGTGAAGATTTGGGCATCCAAGATTACAGGTAGAATGAGAGGGCAGTAAACAACCCAATCAGCCAGAAAAAAAAAATCCTGCAATCATCATCATATTCTTTGATCAGACTCACAGTGTGTTTACCCTCCTTAAGGGTTGTTTGAACCCTGTGATAAATCTTATTTAAAAATTATGGGACCAACATTAAATTAGAATTTAATAAATTTAATCTCTCTTCCAGACAATTTATCTCCATAGGTATAGCATCCTGAGGAGGGTATAAATTAAGTGCAAGAAACACCTGGTCCTTGGTGTCTAAATTGTTATAGACTTGTTAACAGTAGACAAATCTATTTTTCCCACCACTTTTGTATTGCACCATATACTGGTATTTGGGAGATAAAAGGTTCTGTCATAAGAGAAGTCATAATTCTACAGTGTCATTTTTTTCCTTGGCAGGACTTCCTATGGTTGAGGGCCTTAAGAGTCAAAAGACTGACCGGGCATGGTGGCTCATGCCTGTAATCCCAGCACTTTGGGAGGCCGAGGTGGGTGGATCACCTGAGGTCAGGAGTTCGAGACCAGCCTGGCCAACATGGCAAAACCCCGTCTCTACTAAAAATACAAAAATTAGCCAGGCATGGTGGCACATGCCAGTAATCCCAACTACTAGGGGGGCTGAGGCAGGAGGATTGCTTGAACCTGGGAGGCAGAGGTTGCAGTGAGCCGAGATCGTGCCACTACACTCCAGCCTGGGCAACATTTTGAGACTCCATCTCAAAAAAAGAATCCAAAGACTTATAGCCAATTAATTGTTCTAGGCCACATAGGAATAGATGTGGACAGGCATTCGTTACTTCTTAAAATTATTATTTTAAGTAAAAAAAAAGCCGACAATAAAACCAAAAGGCAAAGTTACAAGACTGACTTATTTTTAACTTTTATGTGTTGAGCTACTGTAAACTTGGCTTCTGTTACAGACTTGTAGCAACTAGCTACACAAAACATAAGCATTTTTCTGAAAAATAATTAAAACTATCTATCTATATATATAGATATATTTATCTTCACAACTTATAATTGGGAGTATTATACCCAGGAGGCTTTGTTACAAGGTATTTTAACCTGTTAGCCAATATTTTCCTTTAATTTTATAGTAAGCAGAAAATGTCTGTGGTTGGGGTGTATGTAAAAGTGTCACATAATAATTTAAAGGGCAACTAGACTTGTTTTACCAGCTGTTTAGGCATTTTTTTGTACCCTCTTCTTGATTTGGAGGGTTTGATCTTGTCCTAATTTTATCCCTCAAAACCAGCCCTTACAATCTTACGCACCCACCTCTTCTGCAATAGTCCCTGGGCCTAGAGAGAGGTAGTTTGTATAGTTTTGGCAGCAAAGCATTGGCCGTGAAGCAGATCCAGGGCCAGTGAGATGCCAAATGAGATAGATTCATATCTCTGGTCTTCAGAATACCATGATTTTGGTTTCCTTGGAGGTAAAACAAGGAGAGAGAAATAACATTTATAGTTTGACAGTTATCAGAGTAATTCATATGTTAGAACAGAGAGTGGGGCAGTCCCCTTCTCAGGGCAAACAGACCTTACAATGGCATTATCTGGCCTACTAGGCTGATTACTTTCTCAGGAATAACCCCCTGTGCATTTGGATCACATATACTCAGTGACTGTTCAGTAATGAGCTGTGGGTCCTGCATTAATCCAAACAAGCTCTTAAATGCTGCTGCATTTAAAATTAAGAATTTTGTCCTTAAAGTGGTTATTTTTCAATCCACTATAGTTAAGATTTTTAAAAGAAGCTGAATGACACCACCCTACAAAATAGAACAATTCCTTTACATCACGCCCTTTGGTTTTAAATAGTTACTTGGTTTTGCTCTTCCTACTTACCGACTATTTTCTTGGTAACCATAGGGCTCAGAGTTTTGTTGCTTTGACTTGTGTTTTAAAAAAACTTATTTAGTTTTATCTGTATAATACCCTTCATAATAAAGCAACTCTTAAATAGTTCCTTCACCAAAAAGAAACTTACATTTTTTTTGAGAATTGACATCCTTGTGTTTATAAAATTTTAACAAAAGCGTATTTTTGCTTCTACTATTTTAACTTTTTAGTAACCCAAATTTCCAGTGTGTGTGTTTGGGGGAACCCGAAGGTTTAAATGTGACTTTAAGGTTTTTAAATTCCTGGAGAATTTTGAAATTAAATTTACCAAATTAATTTTTTCCCAAGGATTACCAAGGTTTTGCAAATTAAAAGGCATCTGAGCTAGCTTTTACCAATGTGACAAGTACTTACATATTTTAAGTCACCTGATTAGAGCTCTTTCATGTAGTTTGGAAGTGAAATATCACTTCCACATGACAAATATAGAGATATAACAGGCATGCAGAATAAAAAGCATGTTCAAAAGATACTTTATTTGCCTGTTTTCAAAAAGAATTTTTCTTCCTTTAGGTAATTAGTAAAAGTTACAGGAACCAACAAAAGGTGAAGGAGAGAGCCATGATTCAAGGCCTTTTCAAAAAAGAAAGAGTTGCACTTTTAAGGTAGCAATCTGGGCTGGGTGCAGTGGCTCACACCTGTAATCCCAGCACTTTGGGAGGCCGAAGGAGGTGGATCACCTGAGATCAGGAGTTCAAGACCATCCTGGCCAACATCGTGAAACCCCATCTCTACTAAAAATAAAAAATTACCCGGGTGTGGTGGTGTGCTCCTGTAATCCCAGCTACTCGAGAGGCTGAGGCAGGACAATCACTTAAACCTGGGAGGTGGAGGTTGCGGTGAGCTGAGATCGTGCCACTGCACTCCAGCGTGGGCAAAACAGTGAGACTCCATCTCAGAAAAAAAAAAAAAAAGATATCAACCTGAAGAATATTAAAGAAACAGATTATAGAATTTCAAATTTAAAAATTTTGCGTTAAAATAGGTTAAATATTTGTAATAAAAATCTTGCTTTAACTATTTTTTTAGTTTTGTATTAGTGTATTTTTAATATTAAAGACCCATCTCTGAAAAGACTATTATAATTTCTTTTTAATCATAGCCAATTGAATTCTACAACCCCTTTAAAAATTCCTTCTTACTAACTTTATTACAACTTATATAGTTCATTCCAACGTGTTTAAACTGTTTTGTCTTAAATATCTCTCTTTCTTATATAACCCCGTCATTTTTAATTTAGGACAAAAATGTATTACCACACAAGATTCTTTCTTTCTTTCTTTCTTTCTTTCTTTCTTTCTTTCTTTCTTTCTTTCTTTCTTTCTTTCTTTTCTTTCTTTCTTTCTTTCTTTCTTTCTTTCTTTCTTTCTTTCCTTCCTTCCTTCCTTCTTTCCTTCCTTCTTTCTTTCTTTTCTTTTCTTTTCTTTTTCTGATGGAGTTTCACTCTTGTTGCCCAGGCTACAGTGCAATGGCGTAATCTCGGCTCACCACAACCTCCGCCTCAGGGGTTCAAGCGATTCTTCTGCCTCAGCCTCCCGAGTAGCTGGGTTTATAGGCACCCACCATCACGCCCAGCTAATTTTTGTATTTTTAGTAGAGATGGGGTTTCACCATGCTGGCCAGGCTGGTCTCAAACTCCTGACCTCAGGTGATCCACCCGCCTTGACCTCCCAAAGCACTGGGATAACAGATGTGAGCCACCGCACCTGGCCAAGATTCTTTCGTATATAAAATTACTTTCCTTTTTTACCTCTTTTTACCAAAAATGCCTCTTTATATCTCCTACTTTCTTTACATCTCTTATTTCCTGATTCCTTTACTTTGTTTTATGCATAACCCTTAAATAAGCCTTGAATTAGACAAAGATATTTTACTTTTAATAAGAACATTTAAAAAAATGTTTTCGGGTAATTTTTAAATTGGAAATTGTCCAGATAATATCAATTAATAACCTTAGATCCTAAATTATGATGAATTTGTTTACAAGCATTTATTCCATTACATTTACGTGATTAATTTAGTAGTTTACCTAGATTATTTTTGAAAAACTGTGATAGCCAATATTTAAAGTTATATTGCTATTAACCATTTTTATAGCTGTGAATTTCAGGCATTTACTTAAGTAATAAAACTTATGGTTAGTTTTAAGGGTATTTATACCAATAACTTAGTATTTAACTGTTTTCATTTAAGCCAGCAATATTTCATAAGCATATACAGGCAAAGATCATTCTGTCTTGGGCTGGGTTTTATAGTTTATAAACCTTATGGCAAATCTTATAGTATTCTGCAGGAATAAACATGAAACTACTTAATCAATAAATGCAAACAAAAATGCTAATAATTCTAAAGACATTGCTGATATTATTTTACCAATAATTTTAAAGCCAGCTTATTTAGTAAAGATTTCACTTAAGTCATGTGAACTTGAAAAAGCATTTTACTAGCCTTTTTTTTTTTTTTTTGAGACGGAGTCTCACTCTGTCACCCAGGCTGGAGTGCTGTGGTGCGATCTCAGCTCACTGCAAGCTCTGCCTCCCAGGTTCATGCTATTCTCCTGCCTCAGCCTCCTGCGTAGCTGGGACTACAGGTGCCCACCACCACGCCCAGCTAATTTTTTATGTATGTTTTAGTGGAGACAGGGTTTCACTGTGTTAGCCAGGATGGTCTCGATCTCCTGACCTCGTGATCTGCCTGCCTTGGCCTCCCAAAGTGCTGGGATTACAGGTGTGAGTCACCTCGGCCGGCCACCTTTTTTTTTTTTTTTTTTTTTGTATCTGATTTAAGCTCGTTTTTTGTTGTTGTTGTTGTTGTTTGTTTGTTTGTTTTTTCAGACAGAGTCTCACTCTGTCGCCTAGGCTGGAGTGCAGTGGCATGATCTCGGCTCACTGCAACCTCTGACTCCCTGGTTCAAGCGATTCTTCTGCCTCAGTCTCCTGAGTAGCTGGGATTACAGGTGTGCACCACTACACCTGGCTAATTTTTGTATTTTTAGTACAGATGGGGTTTCACCATATTGGTCAGGCAGGTCTCGAACTCCTGACCTTGTGATCTGCCTGCCTCGGCCTCCCAAAGTGCTGGGATTACAGGTGTGAGCCACCGCGCCTGGCCCTAAGTGCTTTTTTAAAAAGCCGATTAATTAGAGCTCTTTGTATATTTTTTGCAGTGAAAATATTGTGCACACACACATAAATATATAGATGTACTAGGCATGTCAATAGAAGTACATTGTATAGACTTATAAAGACCTCTTTTTTCATTTTATTTTTATCTTACCCAGACAGTTGTCACCTAAATAGCCTTAAATTTGCATATTAAAGACAGCTCAAGCCTACACAGTGGCGCATGCCTGTAATCCCAGCACTTTCGGAGGCAGAGGTGGGTGGATCACCTGAGGTCAGGAGTTCAAGATCAGACTGGCCAACATGGTGAAACCCTGTCCCTACTAAAAATACAAAAATTAGCCAGGCATGGTGGTGCACGCCTGTAATCTCAGCCACTCGGGAGGCTGAGGCAGGAGAATTGCTTGAACCCGGGAGATGGAGGTTGCAGTGAGCTGAGCTTATGCCACTGCACTCCATCTTGAAAAAAAAATCAAGACAGAGCAAGACTCCATCTTGAAAAAAAAAAATAAATGCAGCTCAGGTGAAAATCAGATAGCTAATTTACATCATAAAGTACAAAGAGAAAGTCTGGTGTGCTAGAGGGAAATTAAAATGGATTAAATTGCCAATTGAACATAAAATTATAGAGGTCTATTTTAAAGGCCTTTAAATATATACACACGCATATACAAACACACATACATGCACAAAATTTCCATAGCTACTACTTCAGTACTTTAGCCATGCAATAAATACAACTTTTGCCAGCTTGCAAAAAACACTGTTAGATCCAAACAGTGGTTTTTATCTCAGTAGAAAAGTAAGAGCAGATTAAAGCAGGCAGAAAAGAAAATAGAACCTAGGTACTCTATAGTGTGCAGGATGACCTTAGGACTCTTTTTCCTTAATGTAAACATGCATAAAGACCATCTTACTTCCATTTTATATAAACTCTGGCACGTACAGGTGCTATAAAACCTGCAGACTGTCTGAAAGGGGGTCATTCTCCTTAGATTTGTTTCCAGCTTTTTTTTTCTTTTTTCTTAAAAGGAGGAACTGAGCTGTAGCCTAGGGTTTTTGTGTGGTGGATCAATGCGTGCTGCTTGTGGGCAGGACTCCACAGTGTGTAACCACTGAGTCATTTCCACCCTCTTACGTGTCTCAGTTTATCTCTCCAGGGTTCTATGACTTCTGAGAGGGCTCAAAATGCTGGGCGATCAGCCCTTATATGTGATTCCTGGATGAACCATTTTTTAAATTAATTTTTATTGGAGATTTCCCCTCAGGGCCACTGCACATCACAGGCGGTCAACCCCCCCAGACACTCCCACAAGGCCACTGGTCACCCACAGGTGCCTTTTGGCTGGGAGAAGCAAATGCCCTTTCTCTTTGGAGCTGAAAGACTCAGTCTCTCATTTATCTATGAAAACAACAGTTCAGTTCCTCATGCAAATGCACACAGACAAACCAAATCAGGATAAATTTAAGGAGAAAAAGCAAGAGAGAATTCCCTTTATAATATATCTCTGAACTAGAATTAGGATGCTTAAACAAAACTTCCTGGGAGAAAACCAGCTCCAAATAAATCAAGGACGGTCAATCAAAGGGAGGTCTGGGGCTCAGGAGGACTTACCAGTTCCACTGGAGGAGAAGCTCAAACTCAGTGTGGCTTCAATGGACCCCTGCTGGTACCTTAGCTCTGGTTTCATGCAACTCCTTCGGGGGTCCTGAGTCTTCTCTAAGGCCCCACATTGGGCGCCAGATTATTGTCAATGAAAAGAGTCAAACTCTAAAATATTTTAAGAGATTTATTCTGAGCCAAATGTGAGTGACCATGGCCCATGACAGCCCTCAGGATGTCCTGAGAACATGTGCCTAAGGTGGCCGGGGTACAGCTTGGTTTAATATATTTTAGGGAGGCATGAGACATCAATCAAATACATTTAAGAAATATATTGGTTTGGTTCACAAAGGTGGGACAACTCAAAGGGGGGGCTTCCAGCTATAGGTAAATTTAAACATTTTCTGGTTGACAATTGGTTGAATTTATCTGAAGTCCTGGGATCAATGGAAAGGAATGTTCAGGTTAAGATAAAGGATTGTGGAGACCAAGTTTTATTGTGCAGAGGAATCTCTCAGATAGCAGACTTCAGAGAGAGAGCAGGTTGTAAAATGCTTCTTGTCAGACCTAAAAGGGTGCCTGATTCTTAGCTGACTATCTCCTGGATCTGGAAAGAAAGGAAAGAAAACAAAGGGGAAAAGGAATTCTCAATAGGATGTGGATTTTTCCCACAAGAGACTTTGCAGGGCAATTTTGAGGTATGGCAAGGAAATATATTTTGGGGTTAAATATTTTTTCCTTGTCGTGTAATGTTATGCCACAGTCAGATTGAAAAGTAAGTCATGTTATATAGGGTCAAATAAAACCCATCTGATGAGAATTTATGTTTTGTAGAACATGACTCCCTAGATCCCTCAGGTAGGAATTTGGGCAAGATAAAAAATCAGAGCTTAGTCCTCAACTGAATGGAACTTAACATTCCATTTATTCCTAACATTTATATTTGGCCTTATCTCACTTCTAAGAATTTATCCATTTTCAAATCTCTCCTGCCAACTAAATTCTGAGCCCCTTGAAGGTAGAAATCATATTTTATTTATCTTTCTAGTCCCTACTGCTGAGTATAGCATTCTGGTTCAATAGTTACTTTTTGAATACAAGATAAGTAATTCATCACTGTCAATTCATAAATTACCATTCAGATTTGGCTCACTACTTCCATGCAGTCATTGTATTAAGAAGGGTAAGACAGTGTGGAACCCCCGAAGTTCACCTTTTCTCCCCATATCACCCTCCCCATCCTGATACACATTTAGTGATGATAGAAGAGGTATAGTTTGAAAAGACTTCCTGGATGACTGTAATACACACATTGCGCATTGTCCTGAGCAAAAAAGAAACACACACTCATAAGTTGCAAATTTCCCAGGCATTCTCACTGTAGGCTCCGGACTCTGAGGTTCCTTGGCTGCTTGCACACACTAGAGATGTATGGTGGCCTGATGGATTAGGGTAGGGTAGAGACAGATTCTTTCCCACCTGTATTGGGGTGGGCAAGAGGGAAAATAATATGCCTTTCTTTGAATGCCTACTGTCCCCACCAGGCAAGGAAACCATACACATGCAAACCAAAGTCTCATACACCAGGAAGAAACATGTTTTCAAGGCCACTGCAAGAATGGTCTAATACAGCCAGTTTATTGATGCAGCTAATAAAACCATTTTGAGAAGAAAAGGGGGAATAGAGAATTATTTCATATAAATATAAGTCTTACCAATCTGCCTTTCAAACATCAAATTAATATAGAAATGTTCACAAAGAAACCTTGCCAAAAGGAGAAAATTTCAAATATTTGGAAATATTAAATCAAAGCCATGAAACTGCATGAAGTAGGAACATTTGGATTGAGTGTTAATTGGAACAAACTGAGGCATCCATTAGATTATTGAATGTTTGAGATCTGCCTGTCAAATACCAGCTCCTCAAAGGGGCTTGCTTCCCTGGCATCCAGTCTAAAGCCGCCTCCTATGACATGCAATTTACCTGTATAACAAACCTGCATGTGTATCCCTGAACCTAATATAAACTATTTTTAAAAAAGAACGGAGAACTTTCTGATTTTTCCCTTATTCTGGTGTGAGGGAACCATGTGCGCTCAGAGACTTGCTCAGTCTAGTGTGTGGGCTGCCATGGTCAGTGGCACTGTATGTTCCTCATTGGGAGGGTGAGGATGTGGGAAGGGGGAGAGTGTCAGAAGTGTTGGGCCTGAGACCAGGCACGGTGACTCACACCTGTAATCCTAGCACTTCAGGAGGCTGAAGTGGGCAGTTCACCTGAGGTCAGGAGTTCGAGACCAGCCTGGCCAACAAGGTGAAACCCTGTCTCTACTAAAAATACAAAAATTAACCAGGCATGGTGGCAGGCACCTGTAATCCCAGCTACCTGGGAGGCCAAGGCAGGAGAATTGCTGGAACTCAGGAGGCGGAGGCTGCAGTAAGCCGAGATTAAGTTACTGCACTCCAACCTGGGTGACAGAGCAAGACTTCGTCTCAAAAAAAAAAAAAAAAGTGTCAGGCCTGGCTAGCATAGTCAGTTTGTAAAATAATAACTTTATATTGTGTTGCTTTTTTAATTATAAAATTACACATTTTCATTAGAGAAAAATCAGGAAATCAGATAAATAAAATCAAGAAAGAATTATTGAAACATCACAATGCTAACAACTTACAGATATTTAACTTTCCAAATCTAGCAGGGCTACCTTTTGGATTCAGAGGACAGAAATGGCATTACTTCCTTTCCACCATTGACTGAAAATAAAATAAGTCTACTTCATGTAAACTGAAGTGTAAAAAATAAATAAATAAAGCAGCCTCCTGACTCTCAGTCACTCACTGTTTCATATCATCCTATCTCATCATATTGCCCTGTTCTATTTTTTTTAATTAAAATTAAAATTTAGAGACTGGCTCTCACTCTGTCACTCAGGCTGAAGTGCAGTGGTGCAATGATCGCTCATTGTAACCTCAAACTCCTGGTCTCAAGTGGTTCTCCTGCTTCAGCCCAGCTGGGACTACAGGCTCATGCCACCATGCCCGATTCCTGTTCCAGTTTTTTTTTTACAGCATATGTCATCTGAAATTACCCTGTTCATTTGTTGTCTTTAAGTGCAGGCAACCTCTCTGTCTTATTTCTTACTGTGCTTCAGCTCCTTGGCATGGAGTAGGTGCTCAATGAATACTTGTTGCATAAATGATGGAATGAATGTTATGCATTGCTCATTGGAGACAGTTCCTTAAAACTATTTCTCAAGATGGAAAAACTGTCAGAAAAAAAATCACTGTTCAGGATTTGCCTTGAAAGAATGGGTGGGAGCTTGGAGAGCCTCCATTGCTTAGTGGTTAACAGCATGGGAATGTGGAGTCAGGCTACCTGCCTCCTGTGGAATCTAGAAAGGTGCTCATTAAATATCCATGGAGTGAAAGTTTCAAGATTTAGTTCAAGTTTGTGCTTATAGCATTAAAAACACAGTATTTATTTTGAAACACTCATGCAGTGGGGCCAGAAGATAGCAGAAGAATGAGATAGGAGATTCTTTTAAAAATGAATTCCATGCTTTAAAATTCCATGCTTTAGGCCGGGCGCGGTGGCTCACGCCTGTAATCCCAGCACTTTGGGAGGCCGAAGAGGGCAGATCATGAAGTCAGGAGATCGAGACCATCCTGGCTAACACGGTGAAACCCTGTCTCTACTAAAAAAATACAAAAAATTAGCCGGGCGTGGTGGCGGGTGCCTGTAGTCCCAGCTACTTGGGAGGCTGAGGCAGGAGAATGGCATGAACCCGGAGGCAGAGCTTGCAGTGAGCCGAGATTTCGCCACTGCACTCCAGCCTGGGCTACAGAGTGAGACTCTGTCTCAAAAAATAAAAAATAAAAAAAAATTAAAAAATTAAAAAATTAAAAAAGATAAAATTCCATGCTTTAAAAGAATGTCTATACTTGCTGACCTCAAAAAAATAACGTTTTTCATGAAAATGCAATGCTCTTGAAGCCTTTAGAAAATCAAACATGGCACACAAGTTTTTTTTTCTTGGCTGTTTCATGCAACAGCACAGAAGGTGGAGTCAAAAGACAATTTT
This sequence comes from Homo sapiens, assembly GCF_000001405.40. NCBI lineage: Eukaryota > Metazoa > Chordata > Mammalia > Primates > Hominidae > Homo > Homo sapiens. The sequence goes on along the minus strand of NC_000012.12, from coordinate 69,136,338 downwards.
CATTCAAGGTCTGCCACTTACTAGCTTGAGTAAGTCACTTAATCTCTGTGAGTCCCACTTCCTTTAAAATAAAAAAGACAATCATACATCCCAACCTTCCTGCCTCTCCCAGGGTGGCTATTAGACTCCAGGAACACAACCTATGCACAAGTGCTTAGTAAACAAGGATTATAAGCACGTTAGCTTTTCTTTTAATATGCCAACATGATGGATGTTGGCATATTATGGCTTTGTGAATGATGGAGGATATAATTCTATTTCAGTGGTTATAGAGAAACACTCAACTGCCTGTCCTAGCAACACTGTTTGCCTTTGAGATCCAATGAAGTGGTAAATGCAAGAACTAATGCTAGTGTGGAAGAAACTGAAGTTATGGAGCCATTTCTGTGCTAATTGAGTCAGATCTCAGCTGTTTGTTAATCAGAAACTTAGCATCTGGAATAAATACCTAGAAATTTAATGACATATTCTCTTATCCACAACAAGAAATGGTAAAATGGAAAATTATCTCCCAATCCCTCCTTCTTATTGCCATTAATACTCAAACACACCTTTTATTACTCCACCCTTCGCCTTCCAGCTCATCAAGATTCCCTTCCTACATTCAAAAGTCCTATTTCACTCATGAAAGCTTTTCATTTCTTGAGCACCAACTTTCATAGTTTAGAAGGTAAAATAGGTTAAAATGTTAACAATGGTTATCTCTAGGTGATAAGATTATGAGTAGCATTTTCTTATTATATTTTCCATACTTTCCAAATTTTTCATAATAAGCATTTATTCTTTTCATATTAAGAAGGAAAACAAGGAAGCAGATTTTTATTTATTTATTTATTTATTTATTTATTTATTTATTTATTGAGATGGAGTCTCACTCTGTTGCCCAGGCTGGAGTGCAATGGCACAATCTCGGCTCGCTGCAACCTCCACCTCGCAGGTTCAAGCAATTCTCCTGCCTCAGCCTCCTGAGTAGCTGGGACTACAGGGCACACGCCACCACACCCGGCTCCTATTTGTTGTCTTAGAGACTGGGTTTCGCCATGTTGGCCAGGCTGGTCTCAAACTTCTGACCTCAGGTGATCCACCCGCCTCAGTCCCACAAAGTGCTGGGAATACAGGCATGAGCAACTGTGCCCGGCCAGATTATTTGTTTGTTTGTTTATTTATTTATTTTTGGGACAGAATCTTGCTCTGTCTCCCAGGTGGGAGTGCAGTGGCGTGATCTTGGCTCACTGCAGCCTCCACCTCCCAGGTTCAAGTGATTCTTGTGCCTCAGACACCTGCGTAGCTGGGATTACAGGCATGTGGCACCACACCCAGCTAATTGTTGTAGTTCTAGTAGAGACAGGGTTTTGCCATGTTGGCCAGACTTGGGAAGCAGATTTAATTAGGCAACATTCCTTAAAGAGTGTTTCAGACAATCCTAATCCTAGGAGATACCCTTTAAGAAGAAAGATATTTGACGATATAAATTTGGGAAATACTAGACGCTTTATCTCTTTTTTGGGAGAACCCCAAAGCACAATCATCTGTTAAACACTTGCAAGGTCTTTCAAGAAAGAAACCTGCTTAATTTTGTTTAATCTAAAATTTGCATTTTTTTTTCCCACAAAACACCTTTTTCATGCAAAATCTGTAAACATTTTGTGAAACTGGTGACCCACAGAACAACTTTTTGGGAAACAGGCAATCGGGAACAACTCTTCTGCTGAGCGGGAGGGTGACATGGGCTTTCTCACCAGGGCCCATGGGATCACTAGAGGGTTTGAGAATGGGCTTTAGTAGCAGCTACCCTTGCACAACATTATGTATATGTACACATGTGTGCTTTCGCCTGGGGAGAGGATTGGAACACTCATATTCTCAGTCATCCACATCCTGTAAAGAGACTTGACATTCAGTACTTTTTAAAAATACAAGTTCCTGGCAGATCACCTGAGGTCGGAAGTTCAAGACCAGCCTGACCAGCATGGAGAAACCTCGTCTCTACTAAAAATACAAAATTACCTGGGCATGGTGGTGGGTGCCTATAATCCCAGCTGCTTGGGATGCTGAGGCAGGAGAATCGCTTGAACCCAGGAGGCAGAGGTTGCGGTGAACCAAGATGGTACCATTGCACTCCAGCCTGGGCAACAAGAGTGAAACTCCATCTCAAAAAAGAAGTAATAAAAAAATAATAATAATACAAGTTCCTGCTCTGTTGCCCAGGCTGAAGTGCAGTGGCATGATCAGAGCTCATTGTAACCTGAAACTCCTGGGCTCAAGCAATCCTCCCGACTTGGCCTCCCAGAGCACTGGGATTACAGGTGTGAGCCACCACACCCAGCCTCCAAGATACTTGATGTCCAGCACTTTTGCCGAGCAACACTTTGCCATCAAAATAAAGCAGAAAAACCAAGAAATCTGTTGCCATATTTAACAAAAAACAAAACAAAAAATAGAACACCTAATTAAATGTGAATTTCAGATAAGTAACAAATAATTCGTTAGTATAAGGTGTGTCATGTAACATTTGGACATTTTAATGCTATGCATATATTATCAACTGTTTTCCTGAAATTCATATCTAGCTGATGTCTTGTATTTTATCTTGTAACCTTAGTTAAACTCAAATTTATTAACACTAGAGCACAGAGAACACTCTATTAGAAATGCTGACATAGTGTCATTTAACGCCTTTCTACTCAAAGGGTGGTCCAAGGACCAGCATCACTGACATCACCTGGAAGCTTATTAGAAATGCAGAATCAGGCTCCACCCCAGACCCGCTGAAACAGAATCTACAGTGTTATCAAGATCCCCAGGTGAAGTGTTCCTCCGTTAAAGTTTGAGAAGCCCTGATGGAAAGAGTTCCTGGCATGATGGTTTTCAACCTTGGCTAGATATTGGAATCACCTGGAAGCTTTAAAGCTACACATGCCTGGGCTCATTCCCAGAGAGTCAGATTTAGTTGATCTGAGTAACAATCTGGGCATTAGGATTTTTAAACAGCCCTTCCTCTCTACCCCAGAAGATTCTAACGTGCAGCCAAGATAGCATCATTATAAAGTAGGGAGACCCAAGCAAGGTGAAGACTATCAGAATCACCTGCAGAGAGTTTGCTAACAAACACTTCTGTGCTCCACTCCAGGCTGACGGAACCCAAATCTCTGGGTGTGGGCTGCATTTTCACAAAGTGCTCAGTACAATTCTGTTCCCTCTCCAGTTGAGAACCATTAATGTTTAGGGTGACCTAAAGTGGAGCTATCCAGCTGCTATCTGGCCACCAAGCTATTGAGGAAAAAAGGGCCACCCATGAGAACTCAGCATGCAACTTAGGTGGGGCCTGGCTTTCCTCCTGCTCACCTGGCACCACAGGTTCCCACTGTGCTAAAGACAAGGCAGGATAGCCTTTGCTCACCAGAGGAAATTTCACAAATCTTCTAATTTCTATGAGAATTGCTGTGATGCCTGAGGATAAAGGTGCTCACTGTCTCCTACCAGATTATTCAATTTTTTTTTTTTGGCTTTTGGTTTGTTTGAGATGGAGTTTCGCTCTTTTTGCCCAGGCTGGAGTGCAATGGCGTGATCTTGGCTCACTGCAATCTCTGCCTCCTGGGTTCAAGCGATTCTCCTGCCTCAGCCTCCCAAGAAGCTGGGATTACAAGCATGCACCACCATGCCCGGCTAATTTTGTATTTTTAGTAGAGATGGGGTTTCACCATATTGGCCAGGCTGGTCTTGAACTCCTGACCTCAGGTGATCTGCCTGCCTCAGCCTCCCAAAGTGCTGGGATTACAGGCGTGAGCCACCATGCCCAGCCTAGTCATTCATTTTGACTCTTGGCATATGAAATGGTTTCCCACAAGTCTATTTAGACTATAACACGGGACTAGGCATGGTGGCTCACGCCTGTAATCCTAGCACTTCAGGAGGCTGAGGCAGGAGGATTGCTTGAGCCCAGGAGTATGAGACCAGCCTGGGCAACAAAGCAAGACCCCATCTCTGCAAAAAATTTAAAAATCAGCCAGGTATGGTGGTGCATGCCTATAGTCCCAGCTACTTGGGAGGCTGAGGTGGAAGGCTTGCTTGAACCCAAGAGGTTGAGGCTGTAGTGAAACATAATCACGTCACTGTACACCAGCCTAGGCAAGAGAGTGAGACCCTTTCTAAAAAAAAAATAGTATATAAAATGAATTATGAAAATGATTCTAGCAGAAGCACAGGAGGATTTAAATAATTCTGAGTTATAGCATCCAGTGCAGGTGGTGACTTACTCACCTGCTGGTACTGTAAATCTCAGCTACAGAGAATGACATGAGGCTCTTGTCAGGTGTGTTTTATCCCTGGGCTGATGAATGGACTGAGCAGTAACGGTTAAAGAAATTATCTCACCCTTTTCTTCAGCAGCACATGGTGGTTGAGTGCAAAGCTGGATATGAAGCAGGAGGGATTTTAGTCAAAGAGAAGAAATTATGAAATTCTATTCAATCTTATGGATTTTATCCAAGGTTGAGCCTGGATGATGCCTTTGTCTTAGACAGTTATTTTATAAGTCCTTTTGGAACTGGATATCAATTAGTCAACACTTTTCACTGTCTTCGATTTATGTTCCTACTAATGAAGAAGAATAAAGTAATGTTTGATTTCCACGAGGAAGGATGAGAAATGGATATCAATACAGTAGGAGCTGACAAGCTATCTCTGATAGAAGCAAATAGGTCTATTTCTGGGCTTATGATATCTCTGCTTTGGTGGCCTGGAGGCTTCAGAACAAGTTCACGCGGTTGATGACATTGACACAAGGCAGTTAGTGGGCTGTCTAGTTCAAAGGGGGCAAGGTGGAACTTTTATTTTCTTTTTCAGAAGTTTCAGAGTCTCCCTCAAGGTTGAAATGTTTGGGGATTTTATTTTGGTAAAATCGTTGTGGTCTAATTTCTTTATGTTGTATTAAGCCCTCCTCTAACTTAATGTGCTTAAGGATCACCTGGGGATCTTGTTAAAATGCAGTTTTTAATTGAGTATGTCTAGGGTGGGGCCTGACATTCTGCATTGCTAATAAGCTCCCTGCTGATGTGGATGCTGCTGCCCTGCAGACCACAGATTGAGTAGCAAGGCTATAGAGCTTTTGTTTAAACCATGTGTCAGTCAGGGTTATTTAGAGAAACAGAACCAGTAGGATAAAGATAGATGGATATTTTAAGGAATTGGCTCATGTGATTGTAGGGGTTGGCAAGTTCAAAGTCTCTAGGACAGGCTGGAAACTCAGGCAGGAGTTAATGTTGCAGTCTTTTTTTTTTTTCTTTTTTTGAGACCGAGTCTTGCTCTGTTGCCAGGCTGGAGTGCAGTGGCACGATCTTGGCTCACTGCAACCTCCGCCTCCCGGGTTCAAGCAAGTAGCCTCCCGAGTAGCTGGGACTACAGGCACGTGCCACCATGCCCAGCTAATTTTTGTATTTTTAGTAGAGACGGGTTTTCACCATGTTGGCCAGGATAGTCTCAATCTCTTGACCTCATGATCTGTCCGCCTTGGCCTCCCAAAGTGCTGGGATTACAGGCGTGAGCCACGGCGCCTAGCCAATGTTGCAGCCTTAAGACAATTTCTTCCTCTCTGGAAATCAGTTTTTGCTCATAAGGCCTTTCAACTGATTGGATGATACTAAAATACCCACATTTTGAAGAATAATCTCCTTTACTAAAATCTACTAGTTGTGACTTTTAAAAATAATGATCTTTTTTTAATTTTTTTAGAGACAGGGGTCTCACTACATTACCCAGGCTGGGCTGAAACTCCTGGGCTCAGGCGATCCTCCTGCCTCAGCTTCCTGAGTAGCTGGGACTACAGGCATGTCACCATGCCAGCTGCTGTACATGTTAATCACATGTACAAAATATCCTCCCAGCAACACCTAGATTAGTGTTTGATTAAATAACTAGGTATTATTGCCTAGCCAAATTGATACATAAAACTAACCATTACAGCATGGATCTCTTTTTTAAAATGAGTTTCCATTAATGCCTAATAAGCAAAATAGATAAAAGCATAACTGCTCTGCTTAAGTTAGGAGTGGGGATCTGGAGTCTGGCCCTCATTTTCCTGCCTTTCCCCAGGGGGAGCTCTAAGGAAGACTGTTTCAAAATCATTGCCTTGTATTTCTTCACCTATAACATGCAGATAAGTAGTAGCACCTGACTCAAGATTAAATTAGATCATTTGAGTAAAACCATGTAGTACAATTCCTGGTACATTTGTAGGTATTTTATACACATTACTTGCTTCTAGCTTTACTGTTGTTATCAATCGGAACTATTACTGAAAAATAGGCTTTTCTCAAAGAAAAAAATACAAAGTATTTCAGTATAAGGCCTGATGCTTCACTGAGAGCTCCCAGGATATATTACTGCCTCTACTTTTGTTGCTTACCTGGTGGGCGAGTGGACTGGCTTCATTAACCTCAGCCCCAGTTGAGCTTCTGAATGGAAGATGTCTCTGGGCCCAATGGAAGATGTCTCTACGGGCTGAGCATTGGCCCAGCATTGGGACAAGCAATTAGAGTTGCAGGAGAGAAGGTCAAAGGTTACTGCTGTGTTCTCTTTACTGGCTCGGATGACCACATTTTAACCTTTCAGGTCTCTTGACCAAGAAATAACTGTGGTTTGTCTCATCTGGTAGCTGGAGAAAGTGAGCACTAGGCTTTCCTTAACTTCAGCGGCAAAGAAATAGCATGGCCACAACCTAAACATTTTTTGTTACATGAAAAAAGGGCAGTTTTCTTCAACAGTTTCCTCAGAAATTACAATTTGGAAAGCAAAAGAAGTTGCCTTCTATTGTCCTCATTTTGCTTACAAATAATTAATAAAAGAGGGAACACAAATGTGTTGACAAAAGAAACAGAAAAAGATCTTAAGCCTATATGAGGTCTTAAGTCCTTGAGTTTAAAACATAATGTGGAACTACAAGGAATTTTCCCTCCAAAAACGCTTACTAAAGTTAAGAGATTTTGTTTCAACTGTGTATTTTATAAAATCATCCTGGAACTTGGAAATGAAGTTGTATGCTTTTTGCTCATTTCAGTAACACACATGCAGATAGTGTATATTCTTTGATGACAGTTGGTATTTATGATGCATAGAGAGAACAGCCTCCAGCTCACTGCACAACAGCAATATTGACTCTGCAGGAAGAAAAGCAGTGAAAAACTCAGCTCTGTTAGAAAAGTGAGAAAGTATAACTCAAAGACCCTAGGAATAGTTGCTTTGATTATTGTTTCCTGATGACAGCCTTATTTTACAAAAAGTGCTTAAGAAAGTTTCCATTCACTGTAACAGTCATTTCTCATCTATAATTAATATTCATTATTGCTATAGTTAAGACCGATAAAACCATGAGCAGCATGGAGGCAGGACAGAGTGTGAATTAGGAGTGGTTATGCCAATGCTTTGGTTTTACATAGACTTGAGTTCACATTCAAACTCCAATTAGTTACTGAATGACATTGGGCAAGTTACTGAACTTTTTTTTTTTTTTTTTGAGATGGAGTCTTGCTCTGTTGCCAGGCTAGAGTACAGTGGTGTGATCTCTGCTCACTGCATCCTCTGCTTCCTGGGTTCAAGTGATTCTCCTGCCTCAGCCTCCTGAGTAGCTAGGACTACAGGCACGCACCACCACGCCCAGCTAATTTTTGTATTTTTAGTACAGAAGGGGTTTCACCATGTTGGCCAAGATGCTGTCGATCTCTTGACCTCGTGATCCACCCACTTCAGCCTCCCAAAGTGCTGGGATTACAGGCTTGAGCCACAGTGCCCATCCCTGAACCTCTTTAAGGCTTAGTTTCCTTGTATATAATATGTAATAATACTTTGGAGGGTTGTTTTAACAATCAAATAAAATAAAGCATGTTCAATAAATACTATAAGGTGCTGCTATTGGGTCAGGAAAAGAGCTATGTGGCAATGCCAGGCCCTCCCAGCAGTCATCAGGTTATAATGGCCCATAGGATACCACAAAAGGTGCTAAGAGATTAAATGAACCACATGCAATCCTGTTTAAATTGTGCTAGTGGTAGATTAGGATAAATCCTTCGGTAGCTGTGATACTATAGGCAAATTAACCTCTTTAAGCTACAGTCTTCTGGTGTAAAACTGTCCTGGTGCCTACCACATAGGGTTTCTTCCTTAATAAACTTTTAATTTCAGAGTAATTTTTGATTTACAGAAAAGTTGCAAAGATAGTAGAGAGTTTTACCACTTACCCCTTACCCAGTTTTCTCTATGTTAACATCTCACATTAATGTGGTACATTTGCCAAAACTAAGAAACTGACATTGGTGCAGTGGCTCATGCCTGGAATCCCAGCACTTTGGGAGGCTGAGGTGGGTGGATTACCTGAGGTCGGGAGTTCGAGACCAGCATGGCCAACACGGTGACACCCTGTCTCTACTAAAAATACAAAACTAGCCGGGTATGGTGGCCCATGCCTGTAATCCCAGCTACTTGGGAGACTGAGGCAGAAGAATCGCTTGAACCCAAGAGGCAGAGGTTGCAGTGAGCCGAGATCACACCACTACACTCCAGCCTGGGTGACAAGAGTAAAACTCTGTCTCAAATAAAAAAAAAGAAAGAAACTGACATTGGCAATAATAATAATAATAATAATAATAATAATAATAATAATAATAACAACAGATGCTGGCAAGGTTGCAGGGAAAAGGGAACACTTATACACTGTTGGTGGGAGTGTAAATTAGTTTAACCATTGTGGAAAACAGTATGGCGATTCCTCAATGAGCAAAAAGCAGAACAACCATTCGACCCAGCAATCCCCTTACTGTATACCCAGAGGAATGTGAATTATTTTACCATAAAGACACAGGTATGTGAATGTTCATTGCAGTATTGTTCACAATAGCAAAGACATGGAATCAACCTAAATGCCCATCGATGACAGACTGGATAAAGAAAATGTGCTATATATATATATATCATAGAATATTACGCAGCTATAAAAAAAACGAGATCATGTCTTTTGCAGGAACATGGATGGAGCTGGAGGCTATTATCCCTAGCAAACTAACGCAGTAACAGAAAACCAAATAACACATGTTCTCACTTATAAATGGGAGCTAAATGATAAGAACTTAGGAACACAAAGAAGGAAACAACAGACACTGGGATCTTCTTGGGGGTGGAGGGTGGGAGGAGGGAGAGAGGAAGAGAAAAAATAACTATTGGGTACTAGGCTTAGTACCTGGGTGATGAAATAATCTGTATATCAAACCTCTGTGACACAAATTCACCTATATAACAAACCTTCACATGTACCCCCGAACTTAAAATGAAATTTAAAAAAAAAAAAAGAAACTGACTTTGGTATGTTACTATTAACTAAACTCCAGACTTTGGATTACCCCAGTTTTTCTACTGATGTCATTTTTTCTGATCCAGGATTCAATCCAGGAAACCACATTGCGTTTCGTGTCCTGCTTCTCCAGTGTCTTCTGGTCTGTGACAGTTTCTTAATCTTTCCTAATTTCCATGACTTGACAGTCTTGAGGAATATAGCCAG